>NC_000008.11:15011617-15314648 GCF_000001405.40 Homo sapiens
CTCAATTTTGAATAAATTCTTCCATCATGTATTACTACTATCTAAATACTGTCTCCCCACAAAAGGTATCATTGCCAATCTGTATGTTCTGTACTCTGCTAAAAGAAAAATCATGTCTGCTTAAAATATCATTTAAATGTGTTCCTCTAAAATGTTTATTGTATGAACTTATCACTGCAAATATCCATTGTACATAAAATTTGACAAAATTAATTATATTGATGGTGGCTTTTAAAATCACAAAATTATCGGTGCATTTGTACTATAAGTTTATTCTTTTCTCATTTAACTGTGGTGCTTATAAGTACAAATATATTATCTAATTTTGGCATAATTTACCAAGAAATTACGTCAAAGAAGAGTAGCTCTATTAGAAGGTCACATTTGCATCTATTTTTGAACTTGCACACAGAATTCTGTTTAACTACTCAATCGCATTATTGCAAACCTCTTAAAATCCATCTTTGTCCTTATTAATGAATTGAACAATATTTTCTGATTATACTGTACATGCACATATGTTTATTAATCCAACAGGTGAAGGTATAAAATAAATATTTTATTGCTGGGCATGGTGGTGGATGCCTGTAATACCCGCATTTTGGGAAGATGAGGTGGGAGGATCACTTAAGACCAAGAATTTGAGATCAGACTGGGCAACATAGCAAACCTCCACCTCTACAGAAAAATAAAAAATTAGCATGATGTGGTGACATATGCCTATAGTCCTAGTTATTTGGGAGGCTGAAGTGAGAGGATCACTTGACCCCAGGAGGTTCATGCTGCAGTGAGCTATGATCACCTCACTGCACTCCAGCCTGGGTGACACAGTAAGACTTTTTCTAAAAAATAAATATAAATATATATATATATAAAATAAATGTATAAATATATATTTATACATAAACATATGAACATATAAAAATATGAATATTTATATATAACATATAAATATATATTTATATAACATATAAATATATATTTATATAATACATATATGTTTATATAATATATAAACATATAAAACTATATATAATATATAATATATATTTATTATATATTTATAATATAAATATAAATATTTTATATAAATGTTATAAAGAGAAATATATAAAATATGTTATAGAATATAAATATGTTTATATATAAATGTAGGTATATATTTATTTATGTGTGTGTGCATATATATATATACGTATACAAGAATCACTGCTCAACATTTCTTTTTCAGTAATTTTCAGCTTTTTTTTCCTTTCTATTCATTTGTAAGGCCAGAAGATGGTATTTGGTTTTGTTTTCTCATGTACTGGTGAATGATCAGGTCATGTTTAGAATGTTTAAAGTTATCTTGCTCTTAGGTTTATATTTGGAAAAGCTGTTCTGTAGTATGGTGTCTGGTGCCAACTTCTTAATGGCAAACAGGTGGATTTTTAAGAAATGGATTTATGGTAACATTTTCAAAATGATACCTGGTTTGTATTAAAGGAAAATGCATGCATCACAGGGTGACTCATTAAGTGAAAATGGAGTAGACTTATCTCCCTTATTTGATTATTTGATGTACAGATATATATCCCATTTCTGAAATAAAAATCCATATGGATTGGATTGCCTCAATACATTTCTCTCTGGCTGTACTGTAATAAAATTCTTGCTATGAACCTTTATGAACAAGCCAACAGACTGAAAATAAAATGACCTGGATAATGGAATCATAAAGTTGTTATGGATGGAAAGGACTTCGTTGAGCATGTATTTTATTCCCATGAATTGAAGTGGGGTGCATTTAATCTTGCCCTTAGCATCTATAACGGAAAGGAATATATGGCCACAAATAGTTCCTCAAAGGCACGTGAAATCACTTAAGTAATGCCTATTTCCTTTTCCTAATGTTCTCCTCCCTCCCCTCCTTCCCTTTATTCCTTCAGTGATTCCTCCTCTATAGGTATCTAAAAGCTAAATGTGAAAGGCTGCATGGTGTTGTGGAAAGAACCCAGAATCAGAACAGACAGACCTGGTTTCAAATTTGGACTCCAGCACTTACCACCAAGTCTGTGCACTTGGACAAATTACTTAACTTTAATAATTCTCAGTTTTCCACATTGCAGAATTGTTTATGTAAAAGGCATCTGTTATACATCATATGCTTAATGAATAGTAGTTATAATTAAGAAAAAACACACATACATTTTACAAGTTATACTGACAAGAAAACAGCAAACGAGGCATGTTTGTGGGAAGCATAGAGACAAAGCAGTTGGTTTCTACTGGGCTCGGGCAGCTAGATTCATGCTTTCTCAGTTTAATGCTATTATTGTAATTGATATTTTTTACCTCAAGATGGGATAAACGGAAGAAAAACCTCAAAGGTAGCCACATTTTGGAGTTCAATCCCAAACGGGTGAAAATCCACTCAGTTTATCAGGATTAGTGAGAATAATAAATGCTGTTTGTTTGCTCAAACATCTCCCTTCTGAAATGACAGAAGGTAAACAGTCCAAAGGTGAGTGATCTCATGAAACCCTTCAAGAATGCACTGAAAACAAGCCTGGAGCACTGTGGTAGCTGAGAAGCTACTCTAGTTGTCAGGATATGCTGGAATGACGCTGTCAAAAAAGAAATGGCTCAGCCATTCTGTAAACAAGCCAGTTCCATGGAGGCCAAGGGATGTGCTGGGCGTGGTGTCAGCCCCCCAAGGCATTGATGCCAGGGGCTGTTCACAGTGGTTTTATGTGTGGCCACAGGTGCCAGTCCCAAATAATATTATCCACTTACTCAGGAATGGTAGCTTCATTTTGCGTGTGTCTTTGTAAATGAAGGCTGGTTTTTATTCATATCTTCCCTAAGCACCTAACAAAGAGTTACTTTATACCTTCACTTATTGCTAAGAAAGTTTCAGTGCAGGTGTTCTGGTTGACCTTAAGCACCAACATGTTTCTACTCAAGAAACATGAGGCTCTGGTCATCAGCTGCCCATGTCTATGATCAGGTATCCATAGCATTTGGCTACTCAGCATGGACACTTTATCCAAAACACCCTTCACATTTGAGAGCCATATGGCTAGTCCTTCAGTGCACACTAATCACCAAAGCTGAAGGTGTTTCCATGACCAGGAGTCCATACTGACTTTATAAAAGGCTTGATTCCTTCAGGATAGGTGTGAGCATTGTGACAGCCTCACAATTCTGTCCAGACAATTAGTTTTATACAAGTGAGCAGCTGAAGTTAAATACTGCTGCAGATCTACTCTCTTTAGGCAAAAATAAGCTGGCCCAAGCAGCCTTCTGTAAAAACTACCGCAAACCTGGTCTTCTCATTAGGGGCCTCAAATTTCTGAAAAAAGGCGACCAGCATGGTGACTCATGCCTGTAATCCCACTTTGGGAGGCCAAGGCGGGTAGACCACTTGAGGTCAGGAGTTCAAGACCAGCCTGGCAAACATGGCGAAACTCCATCTCTACTAAAAAATGCAAAAATTACCTGGGCACAGTGGTGTGCACCTATAGTCCCAGCTACTTGGGAGGCTGAGGTGGAAGGATTGCTTGAACCTGGGAGACAGAGGCTGCAGTGAGCCAAGATCACGCCACTGCACTCCAGCCTGAGAAACAGAGTGAGACTCCATCTTAAAAAAAAAAAATTCTGAAGAAGTCTATTGGGATAAAGTGTTTATAATTAGACTTAGAAATCTTCTTTGCATCAATTGACAAATAGATGATAGATGGATTATTTATGAATGTCTGAAAAACACTGTAAAATAAGACAGATTATAATATACTTTTTGTTACTTGAAACATACACGTGGCTGGGCACGGTGGCTCACACTTGTAATCCCAGCACTTTGGGAGGCCAAGGCGGGTGGATCACGAGGTCAGCAGATGCAGACCACGGTGAAACCCTGTCTCTACTGAAAATATAAAAAATTAGGCGAGTGTGATGGCAGGCACCTGTAGTCCCAGCTACCCGGAGAGGCTGAGGCAGGAGAATGGCGTGAACCCGGGAGGCAGAGCTTGCAGTGAGCCGAAATCACGCCACTGCACTCCAGCGTAGGCAACAGAGAGAGACTCCATCTCAAAAAAAAAAAAAAAAGAAAAGAAAAAAGAAATATACACGTGTGTGTGTGTGTGTGTGTGTGTGTGTGTGTGTGTGTGTGTGTAGTTTAAGCAATAAGAAATAGCTTGGTTCTGATATCAGTTTCCAATCCCTCCCTTCTAGCCAATTTATTAAAATTCTTACTTGCAACTTATTGATTGCCTTTTTCATGGTCTTAATTTTCTGCTGCTTCTGTTGCTTCCATATCTCCTTTTTCATTTCCTTCTTTCCATTTTCCTGACATGTATGGACTAATACTATTTGTAAAAATTATTTTTCTCTCTATCTCCAGTTGCTAGAAGTTTACATTCATTTGACAGCCTTTATTGCTAAAACTAATTTAACTCCCCTCCATTATATCCTGCTGATTAGCCATAACGAGTAAAATATATAGGTCTTGCTCCCAACATTAATCCAGGGACTCTATTCTTTTGCAAAATTTCCTCCAAACATTTCTGGAATTCCTCTGGAAGCGCCTTACATGGACTTACACCTGCCCCATTCCATCCCTTCCCATCCCATCCCCTCTCATTTCATTAATTCCAATCTCTCTCACTGGTTTCACTGCTTGTCCACTGCTTTGATACTCAGAGCAGATCCTGCTAATGGATCTTGATCTAACAGAATACACAGCAGATGCTAAGCCACATGGCCATCTGATCCACCAGGGGAATAACATGGCGATGGTAGGTGGATGGGTGGGGAGGGCTTAGAAATGGCTCTCTCCTGTTTGTAGCATAATCTCTTGGCAGGATCCCAATAGATGTCTCAGGTAAAAGAGAGAAGAGACACAAAGAAAGAATAAAGCGACTTCTTCCAGGGGCGTAGACCAGGAACGCACTGTTATCGCAGACGCTCATTGAATGTATTCCCAGTCTCTCTGGGCTCTATACTAGGTTAAGAGCATAGTGCCTCACAAGTTGCTTTACAGAATCTTGCCCCAGTACGTTTGATAATTATTTACATAAGTAATGTGTTAGTCTATTTTACATTGCTATAACGAGGTATCTGAGACTGGGTAATGTATAAAGAAAAGAGGTTTATTTGGCTCACAGTTCTGCAGGCTGTATAAGCATGGTGCCAGCATCTGCTTCTGGTGAGGGCCTCAGGAAGCTTTTACTCATGGTGGAAGGCAAAGGGAATGAACAGCCATGTCATTTGGCAAGAGAGAGAGAGAGAGAAATGATGTGCCAGGCTCTTTTTAACAAGCAGATCTGGTAATAATTAATAGAGTAAGAAATCACTCACTACCCTCCAAGTAGGACAGCAAGCCATTCCTGAAGGATCCACCCCCATGACCCAAACACCTCCCACTAGACTCCACCTTCAACAAGAGGGATCACATTTCAGCATGAGACTTGGAGGGGACAAACATCCAAACCATATCAAATAATAGTTTAAAAAATCAGTTTATGGATTCAAGCCTAGATTTGAGTTCTGGCTTTAAAACTTTAGTTACTTTTCAGTAGATACATTTTTTAACCTTTCCCACAATTTAGTTGCCTCATCAGTAACTGGGAGTAATAATTATTCCCATATGAGAGAATTTTTATATAGGATTCGATAATGCATGAAAATGACAGTTTCCCAGGCAAATAGTCAACAGAGGGCAGACACCTGTATTGCAACTGCTATGCTCCCATTCACTGCACACGTACAGTGAGGCCTGATCCACAGTGGACCTTGGTTGAGCTTTCTCAGCATGCCCCTTAACTTTTTGTAAATTTTTAAAAGACCTATTTTTCTAGTTGTTAGGCACCTAAATTGCATACCATAGGTCCAAACTGATATTAGCATCACATTATTTTTTTTTGAGACAGGGTCTTACTCTGTCACCCAGGCTTGAGTGCAATGGCACAACCACGGCTCAATGCAGCCTCAACCTCCCAGGCTCAAGTGATCGTTCCTCCCACCGAAGTCTCCCATGTAGCTGGGACCACAGGCTCACATCATCATGCCCAGCTAGTTTTTCATATTTTTACAGAGACAGGGTTTCACCATGTTCCCCAAGCTGGTCTCAAATTCCTGGGCTCAAGTGATCTGCCTCCCTCAGCCTCTCAAAGTGCTGGGATTTCAGGTGTGAGCCGTGGTGCCTGGCCATCATCACACTTAAAGTTTATTTAGTTGGGCTCCACTAACATATTCAGAAACAGAACTGGTTTCTCACAAATGCTCTTATCTCTTTGCAATTCAAAACTTTTTTTCTAAAGGAGCTCTCTCACAATTTTGCCCAGTCTGGTCTTGAACCCCTGGCCCAAAGTGATTCTCCTATCTCAGCCTCCCAAGTCTCTGGAGTTACAGGTGTGAGCCACTGCGCCTGGCTCAAAGTCAAAGCTGTATGCAAAAGAATTCCATTTAAGACACTGGTACTGAAATAATATCAAACACAAGAAACAACTAAGAAGAAGTTAATTATACATATTCTACCCTTCCACATAAGCCACCCCCCAGCACAAAACCTACATCCTCTGGAATATTTTATCGTGCATACACAAATTTACTCATTCGGCACATGTTTCTAAACTTTCACGATAGGACAGACACTGTTCTAAGCTCAGAGATGTCTTCAAGATCAAAAATAAACAAGACAGCTTATTTTTAGGTGGGAAGAGATAAAATAAGCACTGAGTGAATGGATGAAGGCAATAAATGAAAACAAATAAGCAAGAAAATACCAGGGAGTAATCAGTATTACAGTGAAATATGTCTTGATGAAAATGACGAGGCAGTACTCTAAGTTAGTCAGGAAATGCCTCTCTGAGGAGGTGATATTTAAGCTGAGACAGGAATGATAAAGGAAACCAGCCCTACGTCTGGTGGAGGAGCAGTCTAGGCAGAGGGAAGAGCTGGTGCAAAGGCCCCCAACTCAAGAACAGTTTGATGGGCTTGAGGAAGTAAAAGCCAACTAGAGGGCTGGAATGCAGGGACAGAGGGGAGAAGGTAAGTGATGAAGGCAAAGGTGAAGATTTATGGAAGTGACTGAGTCAGCCTACAAAGTTGGAAGCCACTGGAAGGTTGTAGAAAGGGATGTTGTAGTAGTCCGTTCTCACACTGCTATAAAGAAATACCTGAAATGCTTTAATCTATAAAGAAAAGAAGTTTAATTGGCTCATGCTTCCACAGGCTGTACAGGAAGCATGGCTGAGGAGATCTCAGGAAACTTACAATCATGGTGGAAGGCGGAGAGGAAGAAGGGATGTCTGGGGAGGCCTTAGGAAACTTACAGTCATCACAGAAGGTGAAGAGGAAGAAGGGATGTCTTACATGGCCGGAGCAGGAGAGGAGATCAAAGCAGGAAGTGCTACACACTTTTAAACAACTAGATCTCATGAGAACTCACTCACTATCATGAGAACAGCAAAGGGGAAATCCGCCTCCATGATCCAATTACCTCCCAGCAAGTCCCTCTCTCAACATGGAAGATTACAACTGGATGAGATTTGGGCAGGGAAACAGATCCAAACCATATCAGCTGTGATTTGATGTGATGGACTGGACTGAGAATGACTTATGGGGGTGAAGGCATGGAAGTTGAAGGTCAGCAAGGGGCTATGGTTGTTTTCCAGGTGCAGAGAAATGGAAGAATTTGGAATATGTCTTGAAGACACTTGAACAGATGGGCAACAAAGGAAGGATAAAGGGCAACCGTGGATCTGTGGCGTATGCACCCGAGTGGAAGTTAGAGCTGCTTAATGAAACAGGATATGTTAGGCTGATTTCTGATGGATTCACATTTCCAAATTGTGCAGCTCTCTTTCCTCTTTCAGCCCCAGCACTCCTTTCTGTGGGGTGGTTTGACTCACCTGATTGATAAATCTAGGCAAAGATAGGCCTGAGGGATCAGTCCCTTCCTTTCAGCTTTTCTTGCCTGCTTGGCTTCAACAGGCTTACATTCTCAGCTCCTCTGACCTGTGTTTGCTGGACAAAGGGAGGTGGGGGGCATTCTCAGCTCACTCTGAGAGCAGTGCAGTCACAGGAATCTCACTGTGATGCCACAACTAAGTCATGTCCTCCAATCTGACTGGCATCAGTGACTCTAATGATCTGACTCCAGCATGTCTCCATCAATTGATTTAGATCTCAGGATCATCTGGAGAAATACTGGGAAAGCAGCATATTTAGGAAAACTAAGAAGAGTTCTGCTTCGGACATACTAGATTCGAAAGACAGTTTTCTGGGTATTCAAGTAGTCTCATGCAGATTAGCTTTGCATTCAGGGATTAGGTAGAACTGGAGACTTAGAATCATCATTTATATATTATTAAAATGCATATATGATTTTACTAGCAAGTCATTGTTATATAAGTGCATATATTTTATGAGCATTTAGCGCACGAACCAAAATGGATTATAGCATCCTCCATCAATATCACTGTACTTTTAACATAGAAGAGACGAGACTCCCCAAACTAGATTGGGAGTCACCAAACAAACTGAAGATCTGAGGAGAAGATCATCTCTACTGAGTCATGCTACCCCAAAAGGCTTTCCAAGTTTCCTTCTTATAGATCAGTCATCAGCAATTTAAGCTTGGTTTGCTCAATATAAATGATTTGATGCAAATAAAATTCAATTAAAAATCCCACACACTTTATCTCTGACTCATCCAAGGTGCACATTGCCATAGTAATTGAAGACATCTGTCCTATGAAACAATACAGGAACAGGCTCGTGCAGCTGAATCTCCCACACTGCCTCAATTGCCACCTCAGGTAGAACTGAGCTGGGGAGGAAGGCTGGGGACATGGGTGCATATATATATGAGGAGATGTTCTTATGCATACTGTCAATGCGGCTGGCTCTCATTATTATTCTTGATTAAAATATAATCGCTGTCAGCTCGCCACCAGAAAATATTAACTTGCACTTTTGAAGTCACCTCAACCAGATACACAATTCTATTATAGTGCAGGAAGGGACAATATTAAATAATATAACTGGCATGCTCCTTTCTAATAGAGTGAATTATAATTTATCTTAATTACAAGATAGTTATTTGCATTATGGTCAGTACTTCACCTGTCAAGTTCTTAGCGAATATGTCTTAATATACAGTGAAAAGTAGCTAACACAACAGTGCTTATTTAAACTATCCACACTTGTGTTCTTCTATAAACATAAGCCTTTCTTCACATAGTCATTCTGTCAACATGAAGATGTCAGGATTTACATCATTTTAGGTAAAATTTAGAAATTCAGTTAAAAGTGGTTATTTTAGTGGATTAGGAAATGAATCTACATTTTTAAAATGCTTGGTCTCTTGAAATCAAATCATATCCTGAAAATTTTGCTAAAAGAGACATTTATGTACAGAAACTTTAGACAGTGTTTTATCCCAGAAAATTCATCTGGGATCAAGTGCTTTGGATATAAATGAAAGAATTAACAAAATGCCCCAACAAGAGAGACTATTTTATTTCTAAAATTATCCATATCAAAAATGGTATTAAGCTAAAATGCTGCTGCACCTGCAAATCTAATAGATTTAGAACTGGTATCAATTCCATGTATCATAGGATAAAGAAAAAAGAAGTGCAATTTATGTTTTGCTGCAAATTAATTTGATTATATCTGACTAATATGGTGAATTCAGGCCTCATGGTACTCTCTACAACTGGAAAAAAATATTGCCTTGTATCTTCTGAATGTGTGACAGATTTGTAGCTATGTGTGAAAGGGCCCGTTCAGACTTGTGTTCTAGGGCCTCACTTACGTGGCTATTACATAGCATACAGATCAGAATCTGTTGGCTTATCTGAGGTTGTACACCCCTCTGACTTCCAACTTATAAGTCAAAAAGGGAATTAACAAGGCTTACTTACGTTGGCACAACAGGATAGAAATTGAGATCTCTCAACCAATCTACTGAAACACTGTATGGGGTTAAGGGAAGAAAGAAACTAACAGTTACGGAGAACACTACTCACCCTGCGTGGGATGTGACGTGTTAATCCACATATGGTTTCTCACCACAGGATCCACACTTCTCCAGTGACTTCCATTGATTAGGATTTATCTTGAGGCCCTTCTTTCACTGCTGAGGCCTATTCTTTCTAGCCAAATGGTCTATATTTGTTATTGTTATTGTTGTTACTGGAACTTAAAAATTAGCATTGATGTCTCTGACCTTCTAGATACACCTTGACCACCTCCTGGAATGCCCTTGCTAATTCTTAGAATTACTGAAATATACTGTCTCTTTTTGACCCCGTTCACACTATAACTTTTCTAAGAAACATCCTGATGACCCAATTTTATGGAAATAACATAAATAGAAACATAACCTTGTGCATAAATTACCTTTCACATTTTGCCCTCTGTAATAATGCTATAAACTGGTCCTTCTGGTACTGCACATGCAATCATAATGAGACAGGCACAAAACCGTTAAGGTGACCTGATCAAGGTAACAATGATAATTTCAAACTCTTCTATCTGTCTTTATATGAATTTCATATAAATGAATTACTGGAATTTGTTTATTTATACTTTCATTTTGTTCAAAAACACATGTAATAAAAAATTCAGTGAGGTAGGTGAATATTTTAATCATGTAATTCTGCTGCTTTAAGAAGAAAATGTTGAGAAATTTAGATCCAATTTTTCTAAAATGAAATGATATCTTTTTTTTAATTTTATTTATTTATTTATTTTTTGAGACAGAGTCTTGCTCTGTCACCACACTGGAGTGCAGTGGCACAATCTCGGCTCACTGGAACCTCCGCCTCCTGGGTTCAAGCGATTCTCCTACTTCAGCCTCCAGAGTAGCTGGGACTACAGGCATGAGCCACCGCGCCCAGCTAATTTTTGTATTTTTAGCAGAGACGGGGTTTCACCATGTTTGCCAGGATGGTCTCGATCTCTTGACCTCATGATGCACCCGCCTCGGCCTCACAAAGTGCTGGGATCACAGGCGTGAACCATCGTGCCTGGCCTAAATGATTTCTTAAATAGAACAACACATAACTCATCTTGATGATACAGGATCAGTATGCTAGCAATGCAATTCTATAGAGACAAAACATGGCAATAGTAATAACTATTATAACTTTCATATTCAATGTAGCTATTTTACCAATTACAAAATAATTTTATGTGTTATTTTACTTGACATTCAAATAGTCTTGTGCAAGAATTACTATTTTCTACATTTCATAGATAAAGACGTTAAGGTTTATAGAGTTTAAGTAACGTACGTTTCACAGCCAGTGTGTGGCAGAACCTCACATTCCGACAGTAAGCCTTGGACCCGACAGGTGGATGGGATTTGTCAGCCCTATACTAAATGACCTTAAACTACTGTGGGCATTTTCTTCATCCTTTTGTCTGATTAGTCAGTCAGCTATCAACTCCTCTTGTTGCCAGAGAACAGTAACTGTTATTTCTTCCTGCTGCCAGCTGTCATCATCTGTTTCTACTCTATGAGCTGGAAAATCAGATAATCACGCTTGCTGAAAATTGAACATGAAACAGATTAAATAGCATCTGAGAGGGGCTTCTTCTGTGAAGTCAATCAAGTTCATGACTTTGGTGCACAAGTTTAAGATTGACTATCATGGTGGCTCTTGAGCTTTCCCCAGCAGCCTGCTGGTTTGTGGCCAGGTTTGGGAAGGGAGTGTCTACCGTGAAACCTGCTTCCCAAGCAGGTGAAATGTGATGCTGTTTACAGTTTGCCATCAAGTGGAAGACAACAAGATGCAAAGACTCGCGCCTTCTCTCCCACACACATTCCTTTTTGTTCCGTTTTTCTGAAATGGACCATTAATGGACACATTAATTCCTTCTATGTGTGTGGCTGTTCATGCTACTCAAAGTATGGGTCTCAGTCCACTGCCAGTGTCTGAAATGTTTGCCACCAGTCAACAAAATATGTACAGCAATTAAAACTATTCAGAAAGCTTTATAGAAATGTGATACTGCTACAACATTTTTATTATATTTTTTAAATATTGGCATGCAAGAGACCGGAAATTATCTAAAAAGTTATCCCATGCCATGGAGAATTTGAGAATAATCTTCGGTATGTTCACAATAGAGTATTGAATAGTGGACAGTAGACAAAAAAGGTTATGTGAGAGAGAGTCCCATTTGGCCTGTGAGCCTGCCAGGATATAAAACACTAAGTGATCTACCATTTTTCAAAGTTAACCTGACTGACTTCTTCTGTTTATTCTGGTTACTTCTCTGGGATTAAGAAAAGTTTCCCAGTCGGCTTTAATGACGTCATTTGCAACAGTTAAATAGAAGATTATGGAGTGCAGAATACAGGGACCAGGATAAGTGATATTTAAGCCATTAAGTAATAATATTAGAAAAAGATCATTACAAAAGTTAACTTGACTATCACAATCATGTTTCTTGAGCATTATAAGACCAAAGCAATTGGTATGTTATTCACAGTGGGGTTTTTGTTTGTATTCTTAGTATATCTTGGAAATTGGAGACAATGATTTCAACTATGGACTTTGCAGATAACCAGGCACCATAAACAAATACATGTTTATAGTAAAGTTTTCATGGTGCTTTTGATGTTGCTAAATATGATGGCCATGAAATATTAACAAATTTATATAAAATCGACACTTTCTTTGGTTTATATCCACTGGAAAAAAAATCTCAATTTGTTTATAGAAGCATAAATTTGAGGAGACACTGCTAACATGTAAATTTTTATTCTGCAAATATTTAGTGAGAGTTGTGCCTGGCATTTACTTTTTAGCTCCTTGAAATAAATCACTGAATAAGACCAATAAAATCCACTGGTTCTGTAGAGTTATACTCTCGAAATTGAAGAACTAGAGACAATAAATAGGAGACTTATTAAACACACTATTTATATGGAATGTTAGAAGGTGATCAATGCTGCAGATAAAAGAAAAAGTAGAGCAGTGTAACCAGGCCCAGGTTACCCTCGTTAGCAGAAGCATTAGTAATAATAATACAGTGGTCAGGCCGGGTGGTGGCTCAAGCCTGTAATCCCAGCACTTTGGGAGGCCGAGGCGGGCAGATCATGAGGTCAGGAGATCGAGACTGTCCTGGCTAACATGGTGAAACCCCATCTCTACTAAAAATACAAAAAATTAGCCGGGCATGGTGGCGAGCACCTGTAGTCCCAGCTACTAAGGAGGCTGAGGCAGGAGAATGGCGTGAACCCCGGAGGCGGAGCTTGCAGTGAGCCGAGATGGCGCCACTGCACTCCAGCCTGGGCGACAGAGTGAGACTCCGTCTCAAATAAATAAATAAATAAATAAATAAATAAATAAATAATATAGTGGTTGAAAGATGAGTTTCAAGCAAAGTCCTGAGCAAAGATTTCAGCAAAAGTTTGGAACTAGACAGTAACTTAAAATACTCTCTAGGTTTAATACTCACCTAAAAGAGACTCATTTTAATGACTACATTTAACATAATGTTTATGAATCAAATTTGTTGGAATGAAATGAAATTCATAGTCTATTCTAAGTTTAGAAACCAAGAACAGTATAAGCATTTGAACAAATGATGTGAGCTTCCCGCACACACACAACTGCAAGGTTCAATCATTCCTGCTACAAATCTCTCTCCATCTTTTGAGAGAGAAGTGCTGTATTTTTTTTCTAATTGAGACAAGGGAGACACATGAGTTTCAGGCTGTCATCTCAAGGACACATAATTTGATTTTTTCCTCTTTTTTAAAATAATAAATTTCTGCTACAGTTTTAAAGGGCAGGAAAAACTGAAAAATAAAACCTTTCTGCCTCAGGCAGATTTTTCTTTTGCTAGCTGAGAGGTAGAGAGGCTGTAAAGGTGATAAAAGAGAGTGCTAAAAAACCACAGGTTAAGAAAGAAAGTATACAGTGGTCAAAGGCTTCTTAGTTTGAAATCCCATTCTCCTGAAGTGTCACCAGTGATTTGATGACAACCAACACCTGAAATTCTAGAACTGCTAACATGCCATGTAGGACTTACATCCAAGAAAGGATTGAGATTTTGGTCTTAAAAATATATTATCATGGGTATGGAGAGAGAAAATTAGTCTTAGAGCAATTTCTGACATATGAGATTGGAAATTAGTGAGAAAAGTACCAGATTATACATAGATATTTATTTAAATTTTGTTCCATTTGCATCAACTCTACATGTAAAGTAATCCTAAACTGTAATTTTTATATAAGTAAGACTATATACGAATGTTTAATACATACTTTCATCTGCTAGCCTTACATTCCTGTAGCATATATAAACTTTACCTGTTGTTTCGAACCACACAAAAATATTACATATATCATAGAGTCTGATACACCTAGTTTTAAAATTTATCTCTTCAGAAGTAATTCTAAAAACTTAAATATACAAAATTAACAAAAGTCATACTCCACGCGTTTTCTTTTTAGACTATTTACTTTGACTTCCATAGTATTCCAATAAGGTTTGTTTAAAAAAAAAAAAGGACTTTTGATGTTTATATCAAATCTAATTTGAATGAATAAAACATTTCTTTAGGTTGGCCAAAGATGAAGAAAATTCTCAGACTGGTTAATTTTTCTTTTCAACATTTGAAAAATGTGTTCAATCTACTTCCTGAAAGAAATACCTAGGATGATAGAAGGAACATAATTTCTGAATGTCCTACAAAGTTATATTTGTTTTCAAACACTGACATTTTCCGGAACAGAAAAGAGTCCTAAATTTTTAATCATCAAGAGATTTTGAAATGCTGGTGTAGTGTTGTTTCCAAAAAGAAAAAGAAAACAAATCACAGATTAAGATAAAAATTACAGACAAAAAGTTTGCTCTTATGCATCAAAATAAGGCATAAAGAAGTTCAAACAAAAATGCATTGATTCCCATTTTTATGTATTGTCAACGCTGTAATCCCAGCTGTGCTCAGATACCACTAGAGATTGGTACACAGATGTGCCATTATAAAAGGGACTCGATTGCCAATCAGAGCTCAGCTTGAGAGATTCATTGTCCAAGCCATTCTCTAATAAAGCTTCTGGAACTCTGTGTGTGCTTCAGTTATTGTCTCCATGAACAACCCAGAATTGTGCAAATAAAGGCATTGCAGAATTTCTCCATTATACTTAATTATATATTGTGAGAAGCTCTAGCTTTTAAAGAAAGCCCAACAGTAGATTTCTTTTATCGTTCTACAATTCTCTTTTTGAGGAGACAGATGAGGTAGAATATTGAAGCGCTAACAGCATAAGTCCCTTCTGTTTACTCAGCAATCACCAATTGTGCTGATGGTTAATATGTTTATCCCCTTTTCAAAGAAAAATACTTCCAACAGACAATGGTTCCACCAATGACAGAATCATGAATGAGGGTAATTGTCAATATTATTGTTTCGTACCTGAAATGAAGTCTCAACTGCCTAACACATACTGGCTATATGCCACAAATATGGCAGCTTTCTCAGACCATTGTATCTCTGAAATTCAGGCCTGGAAGATGTTGCCTCTCAACAAGCATCTTTGGTAAAATGAGTTTTTGACCCACCTCTTACAGACTCACAATATGTACTGACATTTTTGAAATTCCAGGAAGTTCTAGAATAAACAAACATATTCACTTCTATTCTAGAAAACATTGTTTTGCTATGGAATCCTTCTCTACATAGTATTAATCAACAACCCAGTGCTTTATTTAATACAGATGGGAAAGTTATTTCAGGAGTTAATTTAAAAAGAAATATGTGTTGGCTCAAATAAAAAAAGAAATAATTTGTGAGAATATACCATATCCATGACACTACTATGAGAAGATTCCACTTTCCATAACACAGGTTATATTGAGCTGAATGTACATTCTGAGTAAAATTCTGCCTTTCTAGAATATTTACAGATAAGTGGCTTATCTTCTAATTTTATATAATTATTATACCTAAAGATGTGGAGAAGTCACACAATAGAAAGTGGATTTCCGTTAATCTGAAGATATTGCAAGATATAAAATTGTGGCTTCAGATATGAACATCAGATAGCATCTTCAAAGTTCCAAAACATATTAACTACTTTGTCCTTTAACAAATCAACATTCCTCATTTTATAGACTAGTTTCAATTTGTGACCATAATTCTTAAAGAAAGAGAAGGGAGAGGGATAAAAAAGTACTCATAATTTTTTATTTAAAATGTAAGATATATTTATAGTGTATATTTATTTAGCTCTTCCTCTGTGTCTGAGACTGTCCTAAGCATGTAATATCTATTAGCATATTTATTCCTCATTAAAAAACCTATGAGGTTTGAATCTTCTCACCTTTATGTTAAGTTAAAACAAACAAAAGCACAGATAATATCTTTCCTAAAGACACATAACTAGTAAGTAAATGGTAGAGTCAGATTTTGAACTCAGTTACCACTGCCTTCCGCATTCACACACTCCTCAATGCTACCTAACAACTTTCCTCCACTAATAAAGACCTTAGGACATCACTACAACTGTCCCTGGACTTGTCAGATAATAAAGATTTGAATAATCATTATAAGAAAGTTTTCATTCCATCAGAATTTAGAATGAGGTTGCATTAAGGAAAGTGCTCTCATCTTCAGACTATAGCAATTCCGTAGCTTTCGTGAAGGCTAAAACGTCATGGGCTTTCCTTGTTTTCTTCTGACGTCTTTCGAAGTTGAAGTCAGTTTCATAAGGAACACTATCGTCTTTCTAAGTTGAAGTCAGTTTCATAAGGAACACTATCGTCTTTCTAAGTTGAAGTCAGTTTCATAAGGAACACTATCGTCTTTCTAAGTTGAAGTCAGTTTCATAAGGAACACCATCGTCTAAGTTGAAGTCAGTTTCATAAGGAACACTATCGTCTTTCTAAGTTGAAGTCAGTTTCATAAGGAACACTATCGTCTTTCTAAGTTGAAGTCAGTTTCATAAGGAACACTATCCAGATAAACTTGCTGGTTGCTTCACAGGCTCCCTCAGTCATATTGATTCAAGTGGATAAAATGTGAATCCTGAAAATGATAGAAATGCTAAGTACATTGATCTCACAGATGACTCTTACAAATAGCTTTAATCATTCCTTTTCTGGATGCGAGAGATAGGTTCTTTTATTTATGAGGTTAAGATCTTCCTATCTAACTCAAAGACTACATACTTCTTCCTTATAAAGGACTAAAATGAAATCAGGTACTTTCATGGTGTTTACAGGTCTGTAAATCCTCCAAATTCTATTCATTTAGAATATATTCAAGATAATTTAAAGACCAGGTTGCAAACATATTCATAATCAAGTTTTGTGAATGAATATAAATGTGCAAACAGAGAAAAACATTTTCCTGCATACTGATGAACTAAAAGTCACCCTCCTGCAGAAATAACTACCTGTTACAACATCAATGCCTAATTGAAGATGATTGGGAGACTCAAAGATTAGCATTCCAAACCAGTTATTTCATGGAACGAATCTTGATTTGTAGCTAGATACGCTATATATAAAATGCATATGCTAACAAAACCAAACAGCAAGCAATACAGCATAAGAACAGAAAATTTAATGTGCTTTGGTACCCTACTTTAATAATTTTGAAGATTCTGACAACCTTGACTTGGAAAATTGAAGTTGAAAGCACTTAGAATTAGCAGTGGATTTTATATATAGAAAAAAACCATATGCCTGTAGGTGCATGTATTTAGAATGATATTGCATTTGGGCCATATACCAAATATATGTTATGGTATTTTTCTGTGGACTTTTTACTGGATATTGTGTGTGTGCATGTTCATGCATGTGTGTGAAAAAGCTTAAAGATAAATTAGCTTGGGCCCTTAAAATCAGATCAAAGAAAGTTAGTATGTTAACTACAATTTTGAAACGATTTCCCAGTGAATATTTAGTTAGTATGTTAACTACAATTTTGAAACAATTTGTCAGTGAATATTTAACAATGTATGTTAAATAAATTTTGTTCCCTTTACTCATAAGGGGGAAATGTTACTTGAGGATTTACAGACCAATCCAGAAATCCCTTGTCCATTGTAGAATAAGAAAAAATGCTGAATCCCATTTTTGTTTCTCTACAAGTTTATCAATTTTTGATTATACTTTCTCTGTTTTGGGTAGCACAGTTTCAAGCCAAAAACTTTATAATCTATTTCAACACAGCAAAGCTATTATCATGCCTTCTGAAAATAATGGCTTCCATGAGATGATTATAATAGATCATCTTGAATTAGAAATCCTTTGTGTAGTCTCTTTCAAAGCAAGCAAGTGATCTGAAATGGAATGTGTGCCTTTTTGTTCCATTCACTGTGCCATACACTTAATTCAACAAAAGTCCCAAGTACCTATTCTGTGCCAAGCACTATTCTCTGTGCAAGGGACAAAAAAGATGAAAGCTGTTGTCAGAAAGCTAGCACTCTTGTTAATTGAGGAGATGGACATGAAAAATAATTACAGAATATAGTGGTTCTTGCAATAGCAGCATTGTGTACAAGATGGGAAAGCAGCACAGGAATTGGAAGGATCCCCTTAAAGGGCGCTGAAAATAAATGATTCATAAGGGGTTATCTAAAATGGGTTGTGAAGGATGAATAAGAGTTTTCAAAATGCCAAGATCTTATTCATCCTTAACTATGATTTAATTGCCATCTTCAGAAAATAGCACGGTGAAAATCTTTCTATTCTAATATGGGAACAGTAATAAAATTTAATTTCATTGTTTTACTATCCTTAAAGCAGTAAAAAAAAGGTTTTTACTAACTATGTAATAATGTTAACCTCATGGTAAATATTTCATATTTTCAGGGTAATGACTGAAAAAAAGTTTTAGGTGAAAATTTGTGTCTAAAGCAGTAGTTATCAGCTGTTCAAAGGACTTAGAGGATGTGGAAGAAACCATGAGAAGAGCTGTAAATGCAGAAAAAAAATGTTCTATGTGATCTGACTTAGGTAAAGACATTCGTTAAGTGGAGTATTTGTTGAGTATCTACTGCGCACAAGGGATGATTCCAGGCTCCTCTAATACAAATACAAAGCAACTTCCTTTCATTAGAGAGTTTATGATATGGTTAGGGGGATAACTTACTAACTCATGATTTCCTGGTTAAGGACTACGGCGGAGGTAACCCACAAAACCAGACGAAGGGATACTAACAAAGAAATGAAAAGTGAAGCAGGGCTTCCCAGAAGAAGGGCTATTTGAGGCAAAGCTAAAGAGAGTTAGAGTTAGCCACTTAAAAGAAACTAGGAAACACAGTTTAAGTAAAGGAAATAGAACTTACTGACACCATGATGCAGGAGGCCACACCAATTTTTATTTTGGAGATTATATATGTAGACAAGTTTCCTGGAGGATTATCCAGGAAATAAATCCGAATTTTATTTTAGTTTGTTTCAATTTTAGATTCTCAAATCATATTTCGCGTGTGTGTGTGTGTGTGCGTTTTCTCACTTAAAGTATTAGAACAGAGTTTCATAAAACCAATCTGCATTGAGGTAGCTTTATTTTAAACAGGATGCTATGGCACTTTTATTCTTAGTGCATAATGTTATTAATTTTAAAAAATTTATTTCCCAGGATGGCAGAATAGGTTTATTCCTACAAGCCAAACACAATTTCTTCTTAGTTATGGGTTGAAGCATTTGGAGGTAAGGATCCTCATGCCTCGCCCAGGCCTTGAGGTAAAGAGTGGTGTATTTGACTAGTAGTGTCTGCCACTCATCAGGCAGTAGAGAGTGTTGAATCTGAACTTAATCCCTTAAGAAGCTTTTTGTTTTGCATTAGGCTAAGATCCAGGGAAACAAAATCCATACTATCAATGATAGCTAACATTTATTAAGCACTTACAACATGCTCGCCACCCCTGAAGGACTTTACATGTATTAATTCATTCAATCCTCACAACAACCCTGTGAGGTGGAAACTAATGGCCAAGAAAGTCAAGGAATATGTGCAAGGTTGGCAGCTAGTGAGGCTTCCCACACTGGCAGTCAACTCCAGGGGAAGCGCTCTTGCCAGCTGTACAACAGAGCCTTGCTGTCAACTATCCATGCTAAATTATTCATAGGACAATGTCAGCTATATCAGTAATACCCTAAAGAGTAGTAATATTACATATTTAAATGCTAGTCAAATAAACAGTGAACAGGATACATGAGGACATAGCAGCTTCTCTTTAGCATCTCTACGTTGCAGTCGGCCAGCGCTATTTTCAATAACTCTAACTCTATACTCTCTATATTCTATACCCTCTATATTCCTCTCTCTCTCTCTCTCTCTCTCTCTCTCTCTCTCTGTCTGTCTGTCTATATACTCCATATCCTAACCCAGTTTCATTTTTGCATACACCAAATGTCGGACAGAAAAAAGTATGGTTTAGGAGTTTCACATACTCAAATCCCCTTGTCTATGATTTTGCACAAACAACTTCTCTGATCTTCAGTGTCCTCATTCTAAAATCAGAATATATACAATAGCATATATTTGGTATTGTCTTCAGACATCAGTGAGATGGTGGACTAGGACATTCAAGCGCTCACACCCCACAGAAACATCAACTTATATAACTATCCATACACAAAAAATGTCTTTGCAAAAGCTAAGGAAACCAAGTGAGAGATCACAGCACCTGGGTGTAGCAAAGAAATAAAAAAGAAATTAAAAAAAGACACATTGAAGAGGTTAACAAAGGACAGTTTTACATGACGCACATCAGCACTACTCCAACCCTACATACCATGGTGTTATATGAGGTATCATCCACAAAGGGGAAGGAGAGTGAAGAGAGAGCCACACTTTGCCTTGGACCCAACACCAGGCCCACTCTAGTAAAATGCAGTGCCACCCAGGCCCCAGATGCCAGGCTGGGACTTATGGACTGAGCCCCCAGGTCCACCCTGGTAGACCTACAGACCCGGGATGCAGGCCTGCTCAGCAGACTCAGTCTCTGGGACACCCCAGCACTGGGCTGACCCCAGAAACTCCAGGCTCTATGCTGCCCACAGGGGCCTTGGGCTTAGGACCTACCCCATTGCCAGGTCAGCCCCCAGAGATTCAGATGCCTGGCCAACCCCTGAACTACCCTTGGCACTACTTTGGCCCCCACAGCCCCAGACGTCAGGCCTGCCCTAGTACCAGGTCAGCTCCTACAGCCCTAGACATCAGGCTAGCACCCACAAACTCAACTTCTAGGCCAGCCTCTGTGGATACAGGCTCAAAGCCTACTCAGTTCCAAGCTGTCCCCTGTGGCCCCAGGCTCCAGGCCTACCCCAGAATACAGACCAGCCCAAAGCCCATTCAGTCCACATAACCCCAGGATTTTAGCATGCCCCAACTCTAAATCAGCACCCCTACTCCAAGGCAACAGGCCAGCGCCTGTGGACACAAGCTCCAGGCCTGCCCAATGCCATGCCAGCCCTACCTACTAGGCCTATTCCTATGACCTCAAGCTCTAGTAGGCTCAGGTCCAGGCCTGCTTTAAGAGTCCCAGGGTCCAGGCCCATCCCACTAGACCCCAAGTCTGAATGAATCATGTGAACCAAGGTTTCAGGCAGGCCCCTGTGGCCCTAGGAATCAGGCCAGCCCTCATAGACCTAGCCTCCAGCCCAACACCCACACACCCAAACTCCAGGTCAGCCCCAGAATAACCAGGATCTTAACCAGTTCCCACAGCCTCAGACTCCAGGAAAGCACCCATGGCTCCAGGAACCAGGCTAGCACAAATAATCCCAGGCTCCAGACTAGCCCCTAGTAGCCCCAGACTAGTCCCAGGCTCCATGCCTATTCCAGAACCAGTCTGGCCCCAGGGTCCAGGCAGGCTGCAGAAGACCTAGGGTCCAATATCACCTTAGTACCTGTGTGACCCCCCTGGACTCAGGCTCCAGGAGCACCACTAGAGAATGAAGTTCCAGACAAGCTCCTGTACACCAAGACTCCAGGACGAGTCCTATGGACTCAAGCTCCAAGCCCACCACAGCATCGGGACAGTTCCCATGGCCTAAAGCTCCAGACGCATCCCAGTGGACCTAGGCATAAGGCTTATCCCAGTGCCTGGTTGGCTCCTGCAGACTCCAACTTAAGGCCAACCCCAGTCCCAGGACAGCCCCTGTGGACCCAGGATTCAGGTTGTCTCCTGAGGATACAAGCTTCAGGCCCATCTGTACCAACCCAATCAACAGATTGACTCCAGTGGATTCAGGCACCGTACTCAACCCCACAGACCCATCAGACCAACCTCCAAAGGACTCCCACATCAAGCCAGCATGCAGGCCATAACAGACAGCCTCCTCAGAATCTCTGCATGGGCTAAGTGGTCAAGGATTTTTCCAGACAAAGCCAATCTTTAAAGACTAAAATAATTTCCTGCTTCTTTAAATGTACAGGCTTCAACCTAAATTAAGAAGAAATATTAAAAAACAAAAAGACACAATAGCACAAAAGAAAACCCACAATAATCTTTGAGTAGCTGACCCCAAAGAAATGGGTTCTACCCCAAACAGTCTGACAAAGAATTCAGAATAATTGTTTTAAGGAAGATCAGTAAACTTCAAGAAAATACAAAGAAACAATTGAATAAAATAAGGGAAATAATAAGTGGCCAAAATAATAAATTTAGCAGAGATATAAATTTTAAAAAATTAAACAGAAATTTGGGAGCTGAAAATACAATGAGTGGAATGAAAACAGCAAGAGAAAGCATCACTAGCAGAAGTGATCAAGCAGAAAAAAGATCCTGTGAACCTGAAGGTAGGTTACTTTCAAATATAAAAAGAAAACAGGAAAAAGAATAACAAGGAATAAAAAAGTCTTAAAAGATCTATGGGAATACAAGAAAAGATCAAGTGTTAGAGTTATAGGAGTTTAAGGAGAAGAGAGAAATAAAGAGGTAGAAAGAATATTTGAAGAAATAATAGCAGAAAAACTTTCAAATCTGAAGAATGATGTAAATATCCAGGTACAGAAAGGTCAAAGGTCTCCATTCAGATTCAATCCAAGCAAGACTACACCAAAACATACTATAACCAAATGGTTGAAAGTATAAAACCAAGAGAGGACCCTGAAAGCAGCATGAGAAAAGAAGCAAGTCACACATAAGGGAGTTTCAATAATGCAAGCACTGAACTTTCCAGCAGTAACTTTACAGACAAGAGAGAGTGGAATGATATATTTAAAGCTAAAGGACAAAACTGTCAACCAAGAATATTGTATCTGGCAAAAATATTCTTCAGACATTAAGGACAGATAAATATTTTTCCAGATAAACAAAACTGAAGTAATTCAGTACCATCGGACTTGTCTCCTAAGAAAGCCTATTGGGAATTTTTTTAAGCTGAAACAAAGGAGTATAATTAGTAATGAAAACACCTGAAAGTATTAAGATGACTCATAAACAAGTACATAGTCAAATTCAGAAAACTAGTAGTCTACTGGTGGTATATAAATCATTTGTATTTTTAGTATGAAGGGTAAATGACAAAACTATTAATGATAATAATAGCTATAATAACTTGCTAGGGGAAACACAATATAAAGAGGTGTCAACTGTGCCATCAAAAATTTAAAATGTTGAGGGAAGTTGAAGTAAAAGCATACAGTGTTTAATGCAATTAAAGCTAATTTGTTATCAGCTTAAACTAGCCTGTTGTAACTATAAAATGCTTTATATAAGCTTCATAGTAACCATAAAGCAAAAGTCTACAGTTGATGCACAAAATATAAAAAGTAAAGTATCGAACCATGTCACTAGAGAAAACCATCCAATCACAAAGGAAAACCATAAGACAGGAAGAAAGGAACAAAGGATCTGCAAGACAACCAGAATACAATTAACAAAATATCAGTTGTAAATCGTTACCTATAAATATTTGCCTTAAATGTAACTGGATTGTATTCTCTAATCAAATGACATAGAGTAGCTAAATAAATGAAAACATAAGACCGAACAATATGCTGCCTACCAGAGACCTAACCTTTCAGGACACACAGACTAAAGTAAAGGCTGAAAAGATATTCCATGCATATGGACACAAAAAGAAAACAAGGTTAGCTACGCTTCAGTAAAATAAAATTGAAGTCAAAACTGTCAAACAAGACAAAAAGGTCAGTACACAATAATAAAGGGATCAATTTATCAAGAGAATATAACAATTATTAATATATATGCACTTAATATTGGAGCACCTAAATATATCAAGCAAATATTAATAGCTCCAAAGAGAGGGATAGACTGTAACACATTAACAGCATGAGAACTTTAATATTGCATTTTCGGTAATGGATAGATTACTCAAACAGAAAATCAATAAATAAACATCAAACTTAGCCCAAAGATAGTATAAGACAACATTAAAGATCAGAGCAGAAATAAATACAATAGAAACTAGAAAAAAATAAAAAACAAAGAGAGTTGCTATGTGAAACGATAAGCAAAAATCCACAGACCTTTAACTAGACTAATTCAGAAAAAAGAGAAAATTATAAATAAAGTTAGAAATGAAAAAGGAGATGTTACACTAATACTACAGAAATAAAGTAGATCATAAAAGTCTACATTAAACTAGGATACATAAACAAATTGGATAACCTAGAAGAAATATGTCTAAGAAATAAGTTCTTAGACACATACAACCTACCAAGAATGATTTAAAAATTAAAAATCTGAATAGACCAATAAAGAGTAAGGAGATCGAATCAGTAATAAAATGTCTCTCATTGAACACATGGACACACAGAGGGGAGTAACACACAGTGGGGCCTATTGGAGGGTATAGAGTTGGAGGAGGGAGAGGATGACAAAAAATAACTAATGGACATTAGGCTTAATACCTGGGTGATAAAATAATCAGTACAACAAACCCCCATGATACATGTTTACCTATGTAACAAACATTCATGTCCTACACGTGTACCCCGAACTTAAAAGTTAAAGAATAAAAAATATAAAATAAAATAAAATGTCTCTCATCAAAGAAAAGTAGAGGAACTAATGGCCTCATTGCTGAATTCTACCAAACATTTAAAGAATTAATACCAATTATTCTCAAATTCTTCCAAAAAATTGAAGAGGAGGAAATGCTTCCAAACTTATCTTACAAGGCCAGCATTACTCTGATACTGGGTTAGGACAATATCTAGAAAAGGACACTACAAAAAAAAATTATGGGCCAATATCCCTGATTAACATAGGTGCAAAAGTCCTCAACAAACCACTAACAAGTTGAATTCATCAGCACATTAAAAATATCATTCACTATGATCAAGTAGGGTTTATCCGAGGAATAAAAGAATGGAATAATATACGAAAATCTTTAAATATAATCAAACACATTAGCAGAATGATGAAGAGAAACTATAAGATAATCTCAACAGAAGCAGAAAAAGCATTTGACAAAACTGGACATCATTTTATGATACAAACTCTTGATTAATTTGGCAAAGAAGAAATATACCTGAGCACGATAAAGGCTATATATGATGATGGGGTTTGGCTGTGTCCCCACACAAATCTCATCATGAATTGTAGTCTCCATGATCCCCACATGTCATAGGAGGGACCCAGTAGGAGATAACTGAATCATAATGGAGGCGGTTACCCCCATGCTAATCTCGTGATAGTGAGTGAGTTCTCACAAAATCTAATGATTTTATAGGGGCTTTCCCCACCTTGTTTGGCATTTCTCTTTCCTGTCACCATGTGACGAAGGATACATTTGCTTCCCCTTCAGCCAGAATTATAAGTTTTCTGAGGCCTCCCCAGCCCTGCAGAACTGTTAGTCAATTAAACTTCTTTCATGTATAAATTACCCAGTCTCAGGCAGTTATTTATCACAGCATGAGAATGGACTAATACATATGAGAAACCTACAGCTTATGTTATACTCAACAGGAAAATGTTGAAAGTTTTCCTCTGAGATCAGTACATAAAGAGAGAATGTCCACTCTCACCACTTCTATTTAACATATTACTGAAAGTACTAGCCAGAGAAATTACACAAGAGAAACAAATAAGAGGCATTCAAATTGGAAAGTAAGAAGTTAAACTGTCCCTGTTTGAAGAGATGACATAATCATATGCATGCAGAAAATGCTAAAGACTCTACCAAAAACTGTTTAGAAATAATAAACAAATTCAGTAAAGTGACAGGATGCAAAATCAACATATCAATGTCAGTAGTGATTCTATACACTGACATAAACACTTTGAAAAATCAATAAGAAAACAATCCCATTTATAATGGCTCAAGAAACCAGAAATAAGGCTTACCAATAAGAGAGAAGTGTATACTGAAAATTATAAAACATTGATGAAAGAAATTAGAAACACAAACATATAAAAGATTCATGTTCATAGAATGAAATAATTAATATGGTTAAAATGTCCATACTAACGGAAGCAATGAACAGATTCATTGCAATCCCTATCAAAATTTCAGTGACGTTTTTAAACAGAAATATAAAAAAAAATCTAAAATTTATATGGAATCACAAAAGACATGGAATAACAAAAACATTCTTGAGCAAAAAGAATAAATCTGAAGGTATTACACTGACTGACTTCAAAATATACTACAAAGCTATAACAATCAAAACAGCATGGTAGTGGCATAGAAACAGACTCATAGACCAATGGAGTAAAATAGAGAGCCCAGAAATAAATCTGCCTACTTACGGTCAATTGATTTTTGACAAAGTTTGCAAGAACACAAAATGAGGAAAGGATGATCTCTTCAATAAATGATGTTGTGATGACTGAAAATCCACATGCAGAACAATGAAACTAGACCCCTATTTCACATTATATACAAAAATAACATCAAAATTGACTAAAGAGTTTAATATAAGACCTTGAACTATAAAACTACTAGAAAAAAAAAACAAGGGAAAATTTCTATAACATTGGTCTGGTCAATGACTTTTTTAGATGTAACCCCAAACGCACAGGCAAAAAAGCAAAAATAGGCAAATGGAATTGCATCAAATTACAGAGCTTCTGCACAGCCAAGTAGACAACGAACACAGTGATAAGACAACCCAGAGAATGGTAAGAAAAAATTGTAAATTATCACTTCTGATAAGGAGTTAATATCCGAAATACATAAGAAACTCAAGCAATGCTTAAGCAAGAAAATAACCTGATTAGAGAATGGGCAAAGGACCTGAACTGACATTTCTCAAAAAAAAAAAAAAAAAAAAAAAAAGAAAGAAAGAAAGAAAACAGGCCAAAAGATATGCGAAAAACTGCTTAACATCACTAATCATCAGAGAAATGCAAATTAAAACTATAGTAAACTACTACCTCATACCTGCTAGGATGGCTATTACTAAAAGGGCAAAAGATAAACGTTGGTGAGAATGTGGAGAAAAAGAAATATTTGTACACTGTTGGTGGGAATGTAAATTAGTATGGCCACTATGGAAAACAGTATGGAGGTCCCTCAGACAAGTAAAAATAGAACTGCCATATGATCCAGCAACTCACTACCGGTATATAGCCAAAGGAAATTAAATCAGTAAGTTAAAGAGTTATCTGAACTCCTATGTTCACTCCAGCATCATTCACAATAGCCAAGATATGGAATCAGCCCAAAGTGTCAATTGATGGATGGATGAATAAAGAAAATGTAGTATACAATGGAATACTATCCACTCTTAAAAAAGAAGGAAATCTTGTCTTTTCCAACAACATGGATGAACCCAGATGACATTATGTTAAGTGAAATCAGCCAGGCACAGAGAGACAAATACCGCATGATATTACTTACATGTGGCATCTAAAACATCCAACTCAGAAGTAGAGAATAGAATGGGGGTTACCAAAGTTTGGAGGATCAGTGGGTGGGGTTGGGAAAATCAAAGGATGCAAAATGTCAGTTACAGAGGAAGAATAAGTTCAAGAAATCTATTGGACAATATGGTGACTATAGCCAATAACAATGTACTACAGTCAGTCAATATTTGTAACTTTGTTGAGAATATTTCCATATCTTATTACACTGCTTCCAAAAAGAGTAAAGTGTATTTCACCAGCAATACAACAGAATCTATTTCACTCACTGACTATGATATTTTTTAAAATCTCCCAACTGTATGGTGAAAATAATGTTTTATTATTGTTTGTACGTTTTCATTTCCTTGAGAACCAGGAATACGAATATTAATTATATGCTTACTTCCATTTTACATACGTATGTGTATTGCACGTTATACAGTATTTGGATTTTATGGTTAAACCGCAGCTTTTCATTTACACTACTAAGTTCCAATACCATTTTATTCTGTTTGGCACACTACTGACTTAAAGTAGCAGGGAATTTATTATAACTTATGCTTCATATATTTAACACATTTAATTTGCAAAAAAAGTTAATAACCAGCAAGTGATTGACTATTTTGAAAATGCAAACTTAATGTCATACAGATAAAAGGATTTCTCTATTCAAGCTCATACAGCAGCTATTACACAAGACCATGAGACAGCAAATTTGTTATTTAAATAGGTACATGGAGAGATCTAATAGTACTCAACAAATGTTTAAATACTAATGGTTCTAAAGCAAACAAAAGTTTAGCTTTTTATTATGCTATCTTTCCTTACTCCCTTCTCCATGTTAACGAATATAGTAGGAATATATCATACATGACTGATACATTAGTCTTAAATGTCCTATGGTCTTTTTAAAAAGTGATTTCGTTGGCCGCGAGGTGGCTCACGCCTGTAATCCCAGCACTTTGAAAGGCCGAGGCGGACGGATCACCTGAGGTAGGAATTCAAGAGCAGCCTGGTCAACATGCTGAAACCCTGCCTCTACTAAAAATACAAAAAAAATTAGCCGGGAGTGGTGGCAGGCATCTGTAATCCCAGCTACTCGGGAGGCTAAGGCAGGAGAATCGCTTGTAACCGGGAGGCGGAGGTTGGTTGCAGTGAGCCGAGACTGCACCATTGCACTCCAGCCTGGGCAACAAGAGCAAAACTCTATCTCAAAACAAAAAAGTGATTTCACTTCCAAGTAAAATGAATATGATTATATTTAGTTGATCGTACTGCTTTTATTTGAAATACTGCGCATTATTATAAATGTTTTCCAATAAAAAGGGCTACGTATCTATCCAATACTGGAAAAAGTCACGTCACTAGGGTGAGCTGCACTTTTTTAAACATATCAAAAGATAATTTTTTGTTTTCTGTTTCCATACCTATCAAAGTCAGGATGTACTGATAAAACTGTGGACTGATAAATTGTGTTAGAAACTTGATTGAAAAGCTATATAACTTAAAGTATATTATTAGATAAAAGGTAAAAAAGTGTCTAATACGTTTATCTACAGAATCGAACTAAATGAAATGATACAAAAATATCAGAAAGTAAAAACTTCTATTTAAATAATAGAGTAAAATATAAGTTATTGTTTTTAATGTAATATTTTTAATATAATACTAAAACATATCAAACTATTTTTTAGAGTAATGAGGTGGCTTCCATAATTTAAACCTTATAAATAATAGTCATTTATTTTTTTTATAACATAGAGTTAAATTAGATCACATTAATATTTCCTCATGATCTGGCGCCATAAGAAAATATTTCTTAAATGAAAAGAAATGTTTTAAACTTTTTAGATAAAATCAGTATGTTTATGAATATTTGGGAACCCTTGTTTACATATTTCAAATATAACCTAGATAAGCATATAATTGTTAATAATTATTAAAATTGTCATAATATAGAATGCATTTTAAAGTACACATAGTCCTTTTGATACCATATGAAAAGTCTATGTTTTGCAATAAAGATGAATATTATTTCATAGTAATTACATGATTTATATAATTTTATATGGCTTATTTTCTTTATATGGTTTTAGTTAAATATGCAATTTCTTTATATGGCTACATACACCTAGAAAGCGGGTTAATCAAACAATCATGAGAAGTATTTCCTAGTCAGATTCAGAGTATTTGTTGCAGAGAAATGCATATACTGATTTTAATATATTTTATAGCTTTCCTTAATAGAAAATAAGAACAAATCATTTTTATTACAGAATCTAAGTGTGAATACACACATATACATGCACAAACACATGTATAATTTTCAGATTGGGAAAGACTTTTTAATTCTTATATGGGGAACAAAAGGATGTCAACAATTCCATTGCAATGAAATATGTAAATCAGAAAATATAACATATTAACTTACTACGCCAAAAGACAAAAGCATTAGTCAATCTATTATATATTCTGTTGATTTTTAGGTCTGGTCCTGAGTCCTTCTACTACCTTTTCAACGATGAAACTAATTCTACCATACAACACAACGCTGTACATAAGATAAAAAAGGCTAAAGGAAGAAAATGAAAATATTTAGTATGTATATTCTTTGGGTTTATTTTTAGCTGCATTCTCTTCTCTTTTTTTGCAGGAAATGCTCATTTTGTGAGAAAAGTCATTTGTATTCATAGTAAGATGATAAAGACACTGTCTTTACCAGCACATTCTGGCTCTGAGTTAGGATGATGAGAAACTTTCTAAAAACAAGCCTAAAGTTACCTACAGAAAAGTCAACCATGTGTAGACCAGCCTTCATTCCTGTGATCGAACCCACCAATGGATCAGAAGAAAGCTAATGCCTAGCTGACGGCAGTTCCCTTTTGTGCTGATGCCTCTCTTCTGGGCTCCACAGCCTCTGTGTCAGCTCCCTGTCTCTCTCCATCTTGGCTTCACATTTCTGATAGAGTAAGTAAGGTTTTAAATCAGGCCACAATTTGGGGAGCTGCCAAGTCAGCTGCAGCACTACAGGGCACTAGACCCCACTGTGCCACAAAGTAATTCATTTCTGAATAGCTCATTATATTTCCTCTAAATTAGCAAGATTCAAAGGTGACCTAAAACAAACCAACAAATACGTCCTTTATAAATAATATTCCAAATCTACAACCAGATTATTACTTGATATGGGTTAATACATGTTGCCACTTTTGGACAGTTTTCTTCCTCATTGAAAGACTATACATTCTGCCATCTAATAAACTAGATATTTGCTGTGAAACCCTTTATGCACATGTCTAAATATAAATTTATATTTAAGATGCTTTTCAGAAATACTACATAGGACATCACAAAATTCTGTTTAGTATTACAGCACTTCCTCTCTTTCCACATCAAACAAGAAGAGTTTTCGCTCGGTCAAACCCAGGCTTCCCACTTGCAGAAAAAGATGGGAATGTGGCTTTGCTTATCACATGGGGCATATATTGTTTGTTTTATTATTTAATAGTGTTTCAACTGCAATCTCCTCTGCTCCCATAATGCAGTCATAAACGGTTTCTCCAAAGGCATAGAACTTCATGATTAGCTATTTTGTTATTTCTGCTAATTTCCCTCACCACCTAACCTTTAACCCATGGAGCACCACTGTCATGGTAACACTCTCCATCCAGAGCAAGGGCACAAAATGGTTTACAACAGCATCCTCAACCACTGTTTGGGAGTCCTAAGGGGTATCTCTATTAAGGAAGACAAGGATGTTGTTTGATTTCATTTCTTTAATCAGCTAGTAAAATAAGCATTTATTTGTTTTTAATCTCTTAAAGCAGTACAATGTGGAAACTTAACAAATGTGTCTCTAGAAGGTTAGAAAATTCAGTGACAACATTGGTTTGACATGGATAAACTTTCTCGGTCGTTTTGACCCTTATATAATTTTCAGTTAATCTCATTCTTAGTTGAATTTATGTCCATAATGGTATAAATCTATGCTGGTCCATTTTAGATGGCCCATCAAATAGATAATTCACATTAAACATAATAGAGTGGGTTGTTTTTGGATATATACTTAAGTAAATCATATTTTTCTGATATTGCTACTCTGAGTTAAATTAGATAGTGCATGCTACTTTCCAAAAAAGAAGAAAGGCAACATCATTTTTCCTGTTATTTTTAAAACTTGTGAAAATAGTATAAAATAACATTAAAATACAATTTTAAAGTATGTAACAATCTTTTCTATATTAAAAAATTGTTAAAAAAGTAATTTCTTAAGCTTTTCATATACAAACATGAGGAAATACTTTTGGAATTCTTTAGAATAATCACAAGATAATATTTTATAATAAAATAAAATTTGTGAGCCAAAAAAATATTTAGAATCATTTTCTAAACGTTTTCCTAAGTTTCAGTAAACTGTGGCTCTCAGTGCTTTAGTGTTATAAGTGAAGTAGAATTCCTTTCTTCAGTTGAAAACCAAACATACTATTATATAGGATCTTGCTTTGGTTTAAGTTGACATGCTAACCTACTCCCACAAGGTTCTCTCTGGAAAAGAGTTTGAAAATCTTTGGTGATCCTCCTCTCCTTCAATGCAGAGAACTCCAAACCACTCTGCCTATATTGCCATGCTTTCCTGCAAAATAAAGCTTAATTGCTATCCCTGTATTTGCATATTATTTAGATGTTGATTTATTTACAAATAAAGCTTTGATTCCAAATGAATTTATCCCCTAATTTATAATTTATAAAATATATATTCCTATGCTATATTGAATAAATGTCAGTATCATAGGCTACAAAACCTCACACTGCACTTCAAATTTGCTTGCCACATGTCCATTTGACAAGGGGGCACTGTTAAACTTGCTTCTCCATCAATTCAACCCTTCTTTTTCTGCCCACTTTATCAAGGCCATTAGAAAAATTCACTTTACATTTGGGTTCATTAGCTTATTAACTGCCCCAGTGAGAAAGCTGAAACTCTTTGGCAGGCATCCTGTATGCAGTTTTCTGTGACAGTCTGCCTTTGCCTTTTGGTGAAAATATTTCACTTACGAATAGATGAAAAGAAATATTTTCCCCAAAAATACATACAGAATCAGGAATGATTATTTTAAAACATAGTAATACTTCAAAGATTTCTGAAAATCCACCTTTGATAAGAGACTTTTATTAGGATTGTGTAAGATGCAGTAAAACTCATAATTGTGTTCAATGAGGAAAATGTTCACTGAGGATAGGTTATACGAAAATGATTCAGGTAGGTGCTATGAGAATAGCAAAACTTGGTAAGATGGAGGGTTAATTAGGAGTTAATGATGATTAGGAGTTAATTAGTTCCCCTGTGGCCTGGTGAGGGGTGGGTAGGGTTAGGAAGACCTACCTCCTACCAAGAGCACAGCTTGAGTGAAGACAAGAAATTCTATGAGTAGTTTTGTGAAGGTAATTTTATATTATTTAATTCTAGTAAATAAGAGTGGCTATAATAGTATGAATGAAGAGTAATAGTAAATTATGATGGTTTTGTTTGGTTGCATGAATTTGTACTACAAAAAGTAAAGCTCATTAAAATCATTTTGGTTCATGATTGCAAGATTTATACAGGATGCTGAATGCATATTTTGGATATCAGATATATAAGCCATGTACACAGGAAATCTCTTGAGCTTTTTATATTTATTTATTTATTTATTTATATGGTTAATAAATATTACACTTGGGTTATTTGGCATTGTAAAATACCCAACCAGAGGAAGAAATACACAGAAAAAGACTGTCATTCAAGACAGAACATGTAATAAACAATATTTCAGATGGACAAACAAGAGACATGATAAAATTCAGATAGATTGGGAGATCAGAGACCTTTTACAGAGCTGATGAAAACTTAGCTGGGCCTTAAATGATAGGTGGATTCAGGATGAATAAAAATGACTTTCTCTTATCCAGTGGTAAAGCAATTAAAATAATATTTTATAGACAGGTGCAAAGGCAAATGGATATGACTCCACAAATCTCCATATTTTTAGACCTGAGTTAAAACATGTTTGTATACATGTTTCAATCAGTAATAACCAAGTTGCTTTCCTTGGGGTTGAGCCACAGTAATTTGGGTTTAAGATTGAGATTAGTTTAGTAGACCAGTGATAAAGTAGTTCCAAGATTTCATGTTTCAGTTTATCTCTTATTATTTATGCCAGCAAAGCACATTTGTTTATGTTTATATTCTTCTCTTGCAAATATAGAACAAGTATGATGGCACTGATATGCATCCCCGTGTTCTGCTACACTGACAAAACAGATTCTCTCATCAGAGTTGAAGACCCTATCCATCAGCCAAATTGATTGCAAGTGACATTTGACAAAGTGGGTAATCAGAGCAGTAGTCAATTCCCCTCAGTGCAGACACCATCCAATCAAACAGACTCTCACTGGCTAAGGGGAAACAAAATTGGAAGAAAAGGACCAAGAATACTCTCCACCACTCTTTAATGAGATAAACTAATATCCAGATACTGGGTAATACATTTTTCCCATTTAAATATATTAATATACCCTAACATGAATGCAGAAGACTTTCATTGTCTTTAACATCCATTCACACATTAATACCATATAGATTTCATTCTATTACATTATATTGTTAGTACATTTACATACATTGAAGAATTTCTATTTTGGCTACTTGCCTTCAGACTGATTTCCATTCTATAGTGAACAGCATTTTTAATATAATATAGAGCACATGTTTTTTAAACTAAAGCAATGGAAATTTTACTTTCCAATTAAAGCCTAATATCTTCCATGCCTAATACTCTTCACATATACCATGGAACACTGAAGAACGAGTAAGTGCTAGATAAACAAGTATTTGAGTTATTAGTAAAACAAATATTTGTATTAGCTAAAAATAAATTAAACACTAAAATAATGACCATTCAAGTTAATTCCCCCAAATCATTTTTCATTTATTTATTTATTCACTTATATCAACACAACCTTTGGATTTTTACTTTTCTATGAGTTGTAATCTATTATTAGTATTATTTATCTTGATGCTAAAATTATTCCAGATTTGGCCAGTGAAGCCTCTGCCAGTTTGCAGTGTTCTTTTTCTATGTTCCCGTCATTCTTTGAACACTTTCTTCCCTTCCAGTGGAGTAAGATATTCTAGACTTATCTTGTTTCCCTGATGCCCCAGTCCAAGAGTCATGATCCCTTTCCCTAAGTACTGACATCCAGAAACTAAGATCAGGATGCTAGATGTGCTCATTGTTACTGATGTGGCATTGCTTCTAGCCCCTTTCAGCAGACATAGCTAAGATAAAGATGATATAGATGTGGATATAGTTACAGATATACAAATGTCTGATGCTAATACTGCCAAAACCAATCTGACGTTATACCAAACATGCTAGCCTTTCCCCTTTACATATTTGTAACTCTCTTCTTTAACAGTGAGAAAATATGTCTCCTACTATTCTCTATATAACTAATTTGCTCCATCTTAGAATATACAGGAAAAACTTTCAAAATTGTTCATTCATATCAGTGAAAATAAAACAATGAAAAAGTAACTACAGTTCAATGTTTGTTAATAGTTCATTTAAGATTTACATAAATTAATGTAAATGTACTCTGTCCTTTGATAGTTCTAAGGCTTTGATGGATATATATCAATGTATAATGCCTGTCCCTCCTGCATCCTTACCTTGGGTATATGCAATGTTTCTTTTTATCTTGTATATTTCCATACATAGTAATGGACTAAAAATATTAAGTGAAATACTATGTATATGATTGTTCAAAACAAACTGTCTCTTTCACTTAGAAAAAGTACATCGGATAAAGTTTGACAAAAGGATATACTCATGTAATTCACACTTCTATCAAGACTTTGAATGTTTTCATTTCCCAGAAATTCTCCTTGTGCCTCTTCCAAGTCAAATCCTGTCCTTGAGGGAAATCACTTTTCTGAATTTTTCTCCATAAATTTCTTTTCTGTAGAACTTCATATAAATGCAGTCATACAGTATTTGTCCAAAGATGATTTTTGGCAGTATATTTAACTCTGATTTAAAATGTTAGTTATGAATTCAAAGAGATTATGTGGACCTTTAAAGTCTTCTACTACAACATAATACAAAATTCACTAAGAGTTTGAATTTCCCTCAACTAGAGAGAGAGTACAGGGATCTCAGGAGTGTTTATGCCAATGCAAGGATCTCATAATCTATGCTAGTCTGTTTAGATACTATAAAAATAAATCTGAAATTCTGAGAACATTCTATTATTATTGTCACTGCGCATAATCTGAATGTTTCTATAGCTGCATTAACAAGCTTTTATAAATTTACTTATACAATTATATAACTTTTATCATCGTACCGCAGTTAAAGTGGCTATTATCAAAAAGACAACAAACAACAGATACTGGTGAAGATGTGGAGAAAATGTACACTAGTACACTGTTGGTGAAAATGTAAACTAGCACAGCCTCTATGGAAAACCGTATGGAGGTTTCTCAGACAATTAAAAATAGAACTACCATATGATCCAGCAACCCCACTACTGGATATATATGCAATGAAAGTGCAATCAGTATGCCAAAGAGATTTCTGTATTTCCATATTCATTGCACCATTCTTCACAATAGCCAAGATATGGAGTCAATCTACCATTCATTGGCAGAATGAATGAAGAAAATGTGGCATATAAAAATAATGAAACAACTTCAGCCATAAAAGAATGAAAACCTGTCATTTGCAGCAACATTGATAGAACTGTAAGTCATTATGTTAAGTGAAACAAGCCAGGCACAGAAAGAAAAATATCACATGTTCTTAGCCATATGTGGGAGCTAGATAAGTGGATCCCATGAAGGTACAAAGTAGATGATGGTTACCAGAGGCTGGAAAGAATAGGAGGAAGAAGAAGATGAAGAGAGGTTGGTTAATGGGCACAAAAATACAGTTAGAGAGAAGGAATAAGTTCTAGTGTTCAATAGCTCAGTAGGGTGACTATACTTAATAATAATTCATTGTGTACTTCAAAATAGCTAGAATAGAGGATACGGAACATCCCTAACACAAAGAAATGATACATGTTTGAGGAAATGGAAATTCCAATTATCCTGACTTGATCATTACACATTGTGTACATGTATCAAAATATCACATGCACCCCATAGATATGTACAATTATTATGCATCAATTTTAAAAATTGTGAAAAAGTCAGATATTCTCCAATTGGGATCAAAATTTAAACTGAATTCACTTTTGACCACAGATCTAAAAATAATAAGAATATCTGTTTATAATCTACTTCCAAAATGTCAAATAATCCATATGCATTTTTTATATATAGACATATTTATCATTTGTAAACTGTGTGAAGTTGTTTTTTTAACGTAAGAAAAGAGACTCTTCAGAAACTCCCACTGAATGGACAAGTGAAATAATTTACACCCTGACCATCTTCCAAACAAAAAGTTGCTCTCCTCAAAAAACTTGGAATAATTTTTGCTATCCCAAATAAAATTGACCAAGACAAACGTACTTTACTGAAATTTAGAGTCATAGTTTTCTAAGTTTTCCTCAAAAGATGCTGTATCAGTATCCTGAGAAATCATTTACTCAATTAAGAGATACCTAACAAATCTCTGCCACATGTAATGCACAGTGCTACACAATGGAGCCACAATCGTGAATATAAAGGATATGAAGATCTTAAAAAGAAATAAAATTCTGTGGCAGAGAATAACTGGAAGGAGAATAGGTAAGTGTTGTAAGGGATAAGCTTTGGCCTTTGGGCTAAGTAGGTTAACAGTTACGCAAACGGCATAGGGATGAGCATTTAAGGGAGGAAATTCAATATATACAAAGGCCTTTCTTTAAGGAGGAGTTTGGTCTATTCAACAATCCAAAAGATTGCTAGCATGGCTAGAAGAGAGGGAAGAGCAAGAGCAGGAAGAGATGAGTGTGAAGAAGTAGCAAGAGCAACTAGGAAGTCTGTAGACAATGGAAAGGGATTTTGAATTCATTCTCAGAGCAAATGGAAGCTATAGGGGAGTTTAAGCAAAGAAGTAACATGATCTACATTTTTAAAAGATTGCTCTGACTCTCCAATATTGAATGATTTAGAGAAGGCCAGGAGTGGAAGCATGGAGACCAATTAGGCAGAGATATGTACTGCCACCATGCGCAGCTAGGTAAGTTATGCAGTGCACACATGCTTTAGATATGACAGCAGGTTAAAGTGAGAGATGGTGATATAGTTTGGCTGTGTCCCCACCCAAACCTCACCTTGTATTGTAATAATCCCCAGATGTCAAGAGCAGGGCAAGGTTATGATAACTAAATCATGGAGGCAATTCCCCCATACTGTTCTCCTGGTAGTGAATAAGTCTCATGAGATCTGATGGTTTTATAAATGGAAGTTCTCCTGCACAAGCTGTCTTGCCTGCCACCATATAAGAGGTGACTTTGCTCCTCCTTCACTTTCTGCCATGATTGTGAGTCCTCCACAGCCATCTGAAACTGTGTGTCCATTAAACCTCTTTTACTTTATAAATTACCCAGTCTCAGGCATATCTTTATTAGCAATGTGAGAACAAACTAATACAGTCAATAGTTGGGACTTTGGTGATGGCTGTGTAAAGGGGGAGAATGTAGGCACACACAGACACACATGCACACATATGATGAAATGAATAAGATTTACACGTACAGTCTGTGTGGGTAACAGAAAATGATAAACAATAGTGTCTATTTTTCTGGCTTAGACTCCTGAGGAATTGATGGTACCATATGTAGGCATGAGAAATCATGCCTAACTTTGAACATATGAAAGTTGAGATTTTTATAACCCAACTGTGAGATGATATCAAAGATACATGAACTTGTAGTTCAGAGGAGAGGTTTATGTGGCCCTCTCTGTGAAATTGGGAAGAGCTAACCTATTTATGGCACTTATGACCTTGGAAGAAAAGGGATCGCCTGGAGAGTGTACACTGAAACTGAGAAGTATTGAGCTTAGGCATAGGATCTATTGGTACATGTACATTCTGGAGTTGCTTAGAGAAAGAAAAGTAAGCAAAGAAGACAACATGTGACCCATGATGTAAGAAGAGAACTATGAGTATGCGCAGTTGAAGCCAAGAGAAGTGAGTGTTACAAGTAAGAGAAATAACCTGTGCAGAGGAGTGATATTGAGAGTTTTCAACATGGAGGTCAACCTTTCATCAGAGAACTTCAGTGGAGCATTGGAAATGCAAGCCAAATCAGAGTGAATTGATAGTGAATTGAAGCTGATGTGTGGAGAAGGGGAATTGGGGGAGAAAGCATGTAAATATAATACAAAGAAGTTAGGCTCTGAAGGGAAGGATAAAAATGAAGACAATAACCAGAAGTGGTAGATAAAGAGAATATTGCATTTTTAGATGAGAGATATTAGCATATGCCTGAATGTTTATTGGAATTCTGCACCACAACATTTTCTTTTTTCACCTCCTCATTATATGGGAAATACTTGCCTCTTTCTGGGATTGAGTGCCATTTGTAATGTGTTGCAAAGTCAAGAAACATCACATATTTGTAGAACAATAATCACTGAAATTCAGTTAAGAGGTTCTCATCTTGGTAGTTTAATAGGTTTGATAGTCATAGAGATGATTTATTCTGAAATCAAACTGCTGACAGCTTCTTTCTTCTTCAGTCCTTCTTCACCTGCAGAAATTCAAAGACTTCTTCAGATGCATCCAAATGAAAAGGGAATGATTCACCATCTAAGTCGAAAACGTAAAGAAAGAGGCACAAAGGGGTAAAAATGGGGAAAGGACATGGGGAGGAGGCTAAAGAGAAAAAGAATATTTATTCTTAATGCATCTGGCTTCTTTCACTCCACATAAGGTCTTGAAATTTATCCTTGTTGTTTATCTGTAGTTTGTTCCCTTAAATTGTTGTATAGAATGAATACCACAATTTTTTATTTAGCTATCCTCCTCTCGATAGACATGTAGTTTGTTTACATTTGAAGCCTGTTATAAATCATGATGCTGTGAGCTTTTCTCATACATCTCTTGGTGGACATATGCGTATATTTTCCTTGAGTACATACCCAGGATTGGAATTGTGGAGTGCTAGGGTAGGTGTATGTTAAGCTTTAGGAGATACTGACAGAGTTTTCCAAAGTACTTGTTCCAATTCTAGGAATACGGAGAGTTTCATTTCTCCACAGTCTTGCCCACCGTTGGTGTTACCATTTTTTAAAAAAATTTAGCTATCACCCTGACTGTGAGTGATATCTCATTGTGGTTTTAACTTTTGCTTTATTGAAATTCATGTTTATTTAAAAGCTCCCTAGGTAATTATACTATGCATGTGGGTTTGAAACCAGTGTTTTAACCATAGCATCAAAAAGTCAAACTGCACTTAGAGGTGTGTTTAAGCATTTGAGCTGGAAGGATAGGAAGTGTAAGAAACTGGAAGGAGATAGCACAATTTGGGCGCGCCAAAAGACTGGAAGGCTGCAGTGGAAAAGAGGAAGAACTAATGAGAGATGAACTCGAGGCCAAGATCATTGAGAATGTTGAAGTCACAACATTAATGTCAAAGCTTGGATGGTGAAGGGAAGAATCAATCTGAGCCGTAATTTAGACTGTTCAACGTTGAGAAAAGCATGGTTTGAGTTGGGTTCTTTATTCCCAGGAGTCTATCAAGATTTCATCAAGAGGAGGAGAGAAAGATCAAGAGCAAGGGATTTTTAATAAAAGAAAGCAGAAATAAATTGGAGCTGAGACAGTTACCCTAACCTTAGGTATGCAAGGAGCTAAAGAAAAGTCCTCCAGCTGTGAGGGCTTCATGGAGAGTGAGTTTCCAAGTACACATTCAGCTTTCAGTGAAATGAAGAAGATGAAAAGAGGAGATAAGGGCATTTGCTGAAAGCAGGTTAGAAATCCCAAAAAGCAGTGGGAAGAAAGTGAGTGAGGGTGGTGGGTGGACTGAGTCATGCAAAGGTTAGGACAGATAACATGCTTCCGGATGTCCTGGCTATGGGGGAGTAGAGGGGGATCTGTGCATCTGACAGTGTCGCAGTCAGTGGAAGGCATTGCACTGTGGGCTTCGTTCTAACGCTCCTTCCTTGAGGGTGGCTTTCTAGTCTCAGTAGTGTATTTTCTGAGGCTTTCCTCGTCATGTGGAGATGTTCCCTAAAGCTCGTTTGGGACATATGACAGAGATTGGGAAATGATTTCCTTGGAAGAAAAAAAAATTAAGACTTTATGGACACGTGCATTTTAGAAATGCTAAACACCTAATAAATTTCATCCTTAAACATTCTTTGGAATGTCAAGTGGTTAAAAAGCATATCCAATTTTAATTTTGCTTGACCCCAAATTTTCCAAGATATTTGATTTCAGAACACGTTGAAGGATAATGGCTTCCACTGAACTCTCTATGAAAAACATTGACCTAATATATTTATTCTTGATCTTAAATTACCTACTTGACACTCTTCTCCACATCACTCCAATCCATATAGCTTGATTCCTTTGACCACACTCAAGGCATAGTTCCTACATTTCCAACAGCAAAAACCTAAGGAGAACAACTTCAAAATCCAGCATTCCTCTGTAATAACTCTAAATCTATACTCTAACCCAAGCTCAGTAACTGAGCTCCTACCTTGACCTTGTGAGTGTGTCTAGTTTGCAAAATTCCAAGTGTCCTCTCTTTCCTATTTGATGCTTTGATTTCACAGCAAATCTTTTATTCCAGCCCATCCAAACACTAATACCACACCATGTTCATGTCAGTTCTTCTGGATGGCAACTTTGTCTTTCTTCCTGCTTCCCTCATAATTGTGAATTTTCACAGTTTTTCTTTTATTTGTTTTCCTGATATAGTCGTCACTATATCTTACTAGATAAAGAATCTACACTATTTTCATACAGCCTTTCTGCCTGACTTAGTTTCCTCTCCTCTTCCGTAGTTGATTTCACATGAGTACTTGCTTGCATGGTGCACAGGTCTGTTCCATGTTACCTCCTGAACTAACCTGCAATCCTGGTCCTGTGCATCCAATGTGAATGGTAGCTGGCTGCTTATTTTAGAACTGAGAACCACAATTAACTAAGAGCAGGCTAATAAGAGTAATTAGGTGAAAAACGATATATCCCATTCCGAGTTTCATGAGATTTACTAATCATAAAAAAGAAAGTCGGAGGTGATATTGGTTTTACTCTTTTCACTTTTCTTTATTTGGGGGGGTTGGGGGCTCAGTGAAAATATGAGATAAATGCTCTTAACAGATGCTGTGCTGACACATAGGTTTCTCTTGTCAATGATATTTACCTGGATTACCTTCATTCAATTTGGATATTTCTTAGCAAAAATTCTGAAGAAATCACTTTCTACCATTTATACACACACTTATGAGTTTGACATAAACTGGCATTTCATGCTGTTCTGTGAGTGTCAGAATTCTGACACCAAAACCCAAAATCCCCCATTCTTAAATCATGACTGCCTTATCATCCTTGACAAAATTGAAAGCAAGAAACAAATTTTGGATCTAAGGTATGAAACTAACATGACATATTTGACCTTTGCAAAGTGGATGTGATGTGCAGACAGTAAAGGGATGTAGCAAAGCTTTAGAGTCTAGTACCTTGACAATAACTAGGCAAAATGACATTGCCCATACATTCTCCAGATATTGATAAGAATCTGTGTATAAGTGAATATTTAGTTCTTGCTCATAATGAAATATGTTAATACCAAATAATAATTGCTTATTTTCAAAATCATCTCAACATTAATGAAAATATTTTTAAAATAGTCACCCACATTGATTTATCTTACTTCCCTTCTGATGTTAATTCATATGAGTCAGTTCAGCTCAATACAGCTTCACCCATGTGGTCCTTAAATTCCACCTAAATATCGCTCAGGCAGAACGTAGCTTGGAGGCTATTAATAGCTTATATGCCAGTGCAGATCCTGGTGTCACCCCCACACCACACAGGTAAGTACCCAGAATTACTAACCCCTGGAGTGCTGCAATGAGAAACAATAGTTTCTACTCCTTGGGAAGACAACCTGCCTATTTGACCCTTTATTCCATGTCTTGGGTGAAACGAAGCCGTAGTATATAACAGTTTAACATGCTGGCGTTGTATTAATACTTGAATGTGTTAGCTCTACCATTCACTAGGTATGTAACCTTTGAAAAAATTATTTATCTTCTTTAAGACTCAATTTTGTAGCCGGGCGCAGTGGCTCACACCTGCAATCCCAGCACTTTAGGAGGCTGAGGCGGGCAGACCACGAGGTCAGGAGATCAAGACCATCCTGGCTAACACGGTGAAACCCCGTCTCTACTAAAAAAATACAAAAAAAAAAAATTAGCCGGGCATTCTGGCGGGCACCTGTAGCCCCAGCTACTTGGGAGGCTGAGGCAGGAGAATGGCGTGAACCTAGGAGGCAGAGCTTGCAGTGAGTCAAAATTGTGCCACTGCACTCCAGCCTGGGCAACAGAGCAAGACTCCATCTCAAAAAAAAAAAAAAAATAAGACTCCATTTTGCAATGGCTGCCATCCCAGTTTGTATATGAACATGTCACTTCTCTTACACCTCCTAAGTAGCTCCCCTTTACCTAAAGAATAAGTGCCATCCTTGTGGTAGGGTACACAGGGCTCTTCATAATATGGTTCCTGCCTTTCCAATCCACACTCAGACTCCAGCTAGGCCCAATCTCTAACCATGACTTGCTGTGCAAACTTGAATACATTTCTGGCCTCTCTGAACTCCAGTTTCCATATCCATAAAACAGATATTTTAATACTGTATACCTACCATAGATATTATGCTCAAAATAAAGCCTGGTTCACATAAATTCTCAGAAAATATTAGTTATGATTATCATTAGTACTCAATTATTTTTATTCTTTTTGTTATCCTTTCATAGTTATGGCAGACCTTGTCCAAACATGACTGTGGACAAACACAGATGGAAAATATCTAGGTCCTAACAATGCAGAAACAGGTAATGCATGACTATGTACGAATTTCAGGAAAAAAACATGAAAATTAGGCCCAAGAATGTGGCTTGATAAAGAGTAGCATTACTGGTTTACATGGAAGCACGAACCATTTCCAGGCAACAGTATGGTTTTTATGGGACTGAGAAGGCCAGAGCCTGGGACCCCCTTTGCCAAAGGCTCCTAGGACCATGTGGATATCTCACTTGTCAAGTGCTGCTGGCTGCCACTGTCAACCAACGAGAATTACCAGGGAGACCTTGAGAAGCAATGCTTGCGCAGCTCTCCAAGCTCTATCACATCCTTGAGATGCCTAATGAAGCTTGTGAGCAAAATCCATCACTGTCCTTGAGGTGCATTTTCATCCACGAACCCAGCCTGATAACTTGGATGTGCCTCCCCATGCCTTTGCTGCTCCACCTGCCTGAAAGTCCAGTTCCCCTGTGACCTGCTCTTTTTCATCTAAAACCCTGCCATCCTTTATTTTTCCAACAACTAAACTTAATAGCAAACTTCAGTGAAATCTATCGATCGTAAAGCTGGGTAAAGCAGTGATGTGATAAGATATCCTCCTGCTGTTCATTTTTAAATCTGTTTAGAAAATGCATTTAAGCAGTTTGCTGTCCCTGAAAAAAATAATTCTTTAAAAGGCTTAGTTCTAACTGCATTTGTGAGACAGCTCTCCCAGCCCCTTACTCCCAGGCTCAGATCAAGAATTGCTGTTTATAACACTAATCGCAAGGACTCTTTCCTTCCAGACCCTTGGATCTAAGTATCCTTTGGAGCTTTCAGCTGTAAGCATAGACTTCTTCCTATTCTTCTCTTTGCTGACATAAGATAATATGAACTGATCTGAGAGGAATATGTTATTGTTTTCTGTTCTATTGTGAATGTTAATTAGAAAAAATAATGATATCTTTTCTCTTCTGCTTCTCATTACATTTTCTGCAACATGGAAACAGGAACTCTTACTCCGGGATTCAAACAGTGCCAGGCCCATTGTAAGTTGAACAAAAAACTCACTATTAATGAATAAATGGATGAATACATGAATGATGTTGTTTTTCTGTCTTCTTTGCCTTAATGTAGGTGAGCAAAAAAAAAAAAACATTAGAAATGATAGTGTCTAAATGTAGATATGAGGTGCCTACATTTCTTTCTTTGTAACTGTATTTTAATCTAAATGTTTTTTCCACTCCTAAATAAAGTTTTCTGCCATATTCGCAGCTGGCTAAAGGAGATTTTGCACAAATGGTTGTATATGCATGTTTAACTTGAGCTAAGACGTCAATATTCATACAGCTCCACCTCATTAAATCCACCTTCCAAGTGACTTGAACTGTGTAAGATGTATTTTTTGAGGGTCTCCAAATTGTGCCAGTGTCAGCAATCAAGCACCTGTTAGTCATCATGGGCCCAGTTCACCTCTCTGAGCTATTGCTCACCGTTCTGACAGGCAAGGTTTCTGACAGGCAAGCTGAAGGTGACAAGGATGGGTGTTTTGAGAGTGGAATGCAGCAGGGCACTCACCTCTGCCAGATTGCGTGCACGAGGCTCTGAGGATGTGAGGTCACACTGCCAACAGCCATGATGGATGTGTGGGCCGCAGTGCCCTTAATTGGGTGCACATGCTCTGGCATCGCTGTTCCCCGATTACCACTGTGTGGGCCGATCAGCACTAGGCTGGAGCACAGCACTTTCAGGGGAAGAACATATGGGAAGTACAGATGTTCAAAGGGTGGCTTCACCCCTTGTGCAGCCAGAAACCCTCCTTCAAGAATTACCATACCCTATGTTGAGCAAGAATATGCAGGAAGGTTCCAAATAAAAGTGCCATCTGAGGAAGAATCTGATCATTTTCTTTTCAGGGACTCCCTACTTGGTGTTCCTATTAGACACCATGACCTTAAAAGTTGTTGTCATTGAAACACACAAACACAGTCTTTCTATGAAGAAAAGAAAAGATTTCAATACTATTGCATACCAGAGATAATCATCAAAGGTTCCCCCATAGCAAGTAGAGTTGAAGCAATCCACATGTTACCAGGTCACATAATTTATCAATATATATTATTACATTATTCATTACCTATTCATGTATTAATTAAACAAGCTTATGAAGCATTTACAATAGACCAAAAATAGTAAAGGGATAATAGACGTAGGCACAGAGTAAAATGAAGACTAAAAGAAGAAATTCATTCACTTACAAAGGACACAATGTGGCATAGTGAAATGTAAATTAGATGACAGCTAAATAATTAGTCCCAATTCTTCCAAGAATTAGCTGTGCTCCCTGGGCCTCAGTTTTTTCACTCAGAGCTAATCATATTCAACTAAATGATTACAAATGTCCTTTCCAGCCCTAAAACGTTATGAATTTATATCCTTTATCTTTCTTATCATGTAGTCAATGTATTCACCCACTTGTGAGTTTTGTGAATCTCATCACCTAATCTGGGCCAAGCCTAGTTCTAGGTGGTGAAGATACTCTTGCCATAAGACACCTGAGCTTACATTCCGGTGCAGCAAGCTGAATTTTCAAATACAAGTCAACAACACAGATTCAAGGAGTCATTAAAACAGTGAATAAAAGTAAAACAAGGAAATTGAATAGAGAGCAACTGTTAATTAATTTCACGAGGGTGGTCAAGTAGATGGAGCTATCACATTTTAGTAGGAAGGTACCAACCATACACATGAACACTAATAAATTAAGATAATTTATAACAGCAGTATGTCTCAATAAGTCTTTTTTTAAAAGGGGTGGAACCATAGCTCATGTTAGATATGAGTTACCTTCAAATATTCTCCATGTATCTTTTCTATACTGTGATCTGTGTTGAAAGAGAAGGTCCAATTTGGAACATGCCACTCATGGGGTGAAAAAATGGCAAGTTAAGCTGAATCACATTCTTACATTTAAAGTTTCTGCTTTGATGGGATGGGTGTCACCATCTTTTGTCGGTCAAACCAAGGTGAATATACTACTCCTCCCTTCAGAAGGAGGACGTGAAGTGTATATTTGTCTGCAGTAATAAATACTATAACAAATCTTAAAAATCTTAATTTTCCATGCACCTTAAGCTGATTTTACTAACATTTCAACAGATTTGTCAAACACCTTTTGACTGTGCTTAATAGACAAATTTATTAGATTGTGTGTTAATCTCTTTGGCTTTCCCCTGGAGCTCTTCTTCCCAGATGTTTCTTGAGTATGTCAACCCAAATAGTTGTTGACAACTAGGATATCCTGTCAACACTTTTTGTGTTCGCTTAGGATCCTTGGATCCCATGTCTTCTTTTAAGAAAATCTCGTGTCAAAAGTTCATCATACAGGTTATAGGATATGTTACATTTTATTTTTACAACTGCAATTGGAAAATATTTGAACTATCCTTAGTATATCCAAATGTATGTTATACACATAGATAGAATATTGTATTTAGGAGTGGAAAAGGAAATTACAGATAATTAAAACCAGGTGTTTTTAAAAGAAATTTATTAAGTTGAAACTTCTTTTTACATATAGCTTATCTAAAATGTCTCTCTGGGTCACATTTTTTATGTTTTTTGTATCTAATTATTCTACCAAAATATTAGTTTCTTGCTATGCTGGAAGTATTATCAGCTAGATTAAAATGTCTAAAGTTGTTACGATATGTTTCCTGTTTGACAGCATGATAAAATATTTTTCCATGAAAAAATATCTACAATTATACTCTTTCAGTATAGATATTCTCGATTAAAATTTACAAAATATTTTTATTGCCTTCCTTAATTGATTATAATTATTCTAAACTAACAAAAATATTAACTGTCTGTTTCTTAAATAGTTTGTGTAAGCAATCAGCAAAGTCCATAGACTAGATCTTACCTCCTAAGGAGCACATGAACTCAAGTTGGCACTTGTTAAAAGAGCGGATATGTCATTAAAATAAGTTTACTTTTTAGTGAATAAATTTTCTAAGAATGACAATTACCAGATTATTTACACCAATTATTATGAAATGGTTTCTTTTAGATCCTCCATAAAAGGGAAGCAATTAAAAATTGCTTTAGAATTCAGTCGTAGATTACATTTAGAAAATAATCACCAACTAGTTTAATATTGCAAAGTTATAAGAATGTAAGAAATCATTACTTGAAATTGAAAACTGCATAATTAGGTTTCAAATATTTGAAATACTGTCTTCCTAAATTAATGATACTTAACTTATATATTTGTGTCTTTGCTTATATTGAATTTCTGAACATAATGAATCATCAAAAGTATGGGATTAGGAAAATATTACCTGGTAAACCAGTTAGCACGTTTTGAATAGTTAGGAGAATTTTCCTTTCCCTCATATAGCCCAAGAACTCCCGGTTAATGCCTTCAGTTCTTTCCAAGGTCTTTTCATCCTTTGTCTCAGTAACTTTTTCTTTCTTACCACTGACCACTTTAAAGTAGGGGAATAGAACAATGGGTGTGGAGAGAGGCAATGTGTTCTGGCTCTGAGAGTCCCTGAACAAGAGTTCTTACAGGAAATGACAAGCATTCAAGCCCTGACATCTCTATACTAGGCCATTCTCAGGGCTTTGTTTGCAGCAAGCAACCTTAAGGGATGAGAAAACGTCTCCCTTTGGGAACTAGTTCAACCATTGTGGAAGTCAATGTGGTGTTTCCTCAGGGATCTAGAACTAGAAATACCATTTGACCCAGCCATCCCATTACTGGGTATATACCCAAAGGATTATAATTCACACTGCTATAAAGACACATGCACACATATGTTTATTGCAGCACTACTCACAATAGCAAAGACTTGGAACCAACCCACATGTCCAAAAATGATAGACTGGATTAAGAAAATGTGGCACATATACACCATGGAATACTATGCAGCCATAAAAAAGGATGAGTTCATGTCCTTTGTAGGGACATGGATGAAGCTGGAAACCATCATTCTCAGCAAACTATCACAAGGACAGAAAACCAAACACCGCACGTTCTCACTCATAGGTGGGAATTGAACAATGAGAACACTTGGACATAGGAAGGGGAACATGACACACCGGGGCCTGTTGTGGGGTGGGGGGAGGGGGGAGGGATAGCATTAGGAGATATACCTAATTAATGTAAATGACGAGTTAATGGGTGCAGCACACCAACATGGCACATGTATACATAGGTAACAAACCTACACACTGTGCACATGTACCCGAAAACTTAAAGTATTAAAAAAAAAAAAAAAAAGTCTCCCTTTGGGAAAAAGAGCAAGCTTGTATTCTTGACTTTGGGACCTGTAGGTAGTCAACATTCTGGGTTCTTACATTCTTCTAAAGAGGGTTGTTTTGTTTTTGTTGTTTTAGCAGGCATTAATTAATAATGTACCTAATTTCAAACTGAAAAATCTGTCTCCTGGGCAATGGCTGGAGCTCAAATTTCAGTTTAGTTTTTAGCCTTGGCTGGATTGCTTCGATACTCCACCATAGTAGAAGGTACAGGGATCAGCCAGAAATTTGGGTAGAGTTTATACAAAAGATATGGGTTTCCTCCCTGCCTTCTGGATCTTTCCTTTCTGGGATTTCTTCCACACATTTCTACTGGCTATGATTGACCCAATCGTTGTTCCCTAGTTCTTCAAGCCACCAAAAATGAGAAATGTTATCAAATGTTAGCCAGCTACTATAATCTGAATGTATCCCCCCAAACTCATGTGTTGAAATTAAATAGTGTGATAGTATTAAGAGGGGGGAACATTTCAGAGGTGATTAAGTCATGAAGGCGGAACTCTCATAGATAGGATTAGAGCCCCTACAAATAGGGCTTAAGACAAACTAACACAGGAACAGAAAACCAAACACCACATGTTCTCACTCATAAGTGGGAGTAGAACAATGAGAACACATGGACACAGGGAGGAGAACATCACACACCGGGGCCTGTTGGGGGTGCGGGGCTAAGGAAGGGATAGCACTAGGAGAAATACCTAATGTACATGAGGGATTGATGGGTCCAGCAAACCACCATGGCATGTGTATACCTAAGTAACAAACCTGCACGTTCTGCACATGTATCCCAGAACTTACAGTATATAAAAAAAAAAAACAGGAAAAAATTAAAAATAAATAAATAAAAGGGCTTGAGAGACTGGATTCATTCTGTCCTGCTCTTCTGTTGAGAACTCAGTGCTCTTTCCTTTTTTGCCCTTCTACATCTTGCCATGTGAGGATACCATTTCACCCCTTCTGCCATGTGAGGACAGAGGAAGAGGACCCTCATAAGACACCAAATGCCAGTGCCTTGCTCAATGACTTCCCATTCTCCAAAAGTGAGACAGATAAATTTCTATCATTTATAAACTACCCAGTCTCAACTATTTTGGTATAACAGCACAATCAGACTAAGACACCACCCTACAAGTTGTTCAAGTTAAAGCCGTAACAATGGAAATTTCACACAAAGCTATTTTCATCCTCCAGGTTTGACTCCTGCCCAGTATCTAGCTGATTTTTGTGGCTTGCCAAAGCTTTAGATAATTTTCATATTTTCCAAAGTTTATTATCTATGAAAGAATTAGACCAGTAGCAGATACTCTGCTGCACCAGAACTGGAATATCTACTCTTCAACTTTAGTTGAAAGAGTAAAAATTTTAAACATTCTTGCTGTAACCTCTCCCTAAACATCCTATAGTCTTACTTTTCATATGTGATCATTTCACCCCTTTATAAGAACTACTCTCACTTTAAAAGCATTAAGTTTTTATTATAGTTAATGAAAAGGTTAGCTTCTTACAGCAATAATAAAAAATAGAATGACCTTCTCAACCAAGTAATGACACAACCATTATGCAACTTAAGCTTATAAATAAAACCTGAAAATAAAGCCTCTTCTTCTATTAAAATAATATCATATACTTTTTAAAATTAAAATTTAAGACTTATAACCAAACTACTAACTAAAGTAGGTTTTCGTCTGTCTGTACATTTCTAGAAAAAGAGGCCCACCACTTCCATTTCACCATTCCTATGCAATAACGATATTTAGGACTTGAAACTACTACAAATAGAAATAGTCAAGTAGTCATTTGAACATATCTGTATCCATTACGCACACACAGCTATTTCACTTACTTTGGGAAAATCAGCCCATCTGAATAATAAACTTAGCTTGAAAAATAACATTTTGATTTAAAAATAGAACATTTGCAACCTAACACTTTCATATGATTTTAAAAGAGGAGCATCAGATAAAGCAGTTATTTTGAGAATAAATTGAAAAATACATACTTTGTTTTATAAACTAGTACTACAAGCTGAATTATCAAGATGGATTTGTTAAACCCTTTTTACAGTCTTACGTATAGTAAAATATCACTACATATGATTAATCGATTTGGCTCCTTTTAGTAAAGATATAGAACTATGAAATGTATTCAAAGATATGCAGTTCTAACTTTTTAAAGCATAGTTAAAATAGACCTAAGCTAACAAAGTACTGCCTAGTAGGAGTTCTCAGAAAGATACTAAAAAGAATGTCAATTGTGTTTAAAATGGTACTCACAGTGTACCTGAGGATGACTTGAAGCCATTTAATATATTTCCCATATTTCACATACATCTTTGGTTTGCCTAGTAAAATCCTGCCTTTAGAGAATAAATCAAAAGTAAACTTTTTTCTGGCTCAGCATTAATGAAGTTCCACGGTGCTATGTATGATTTCCCACTAGTTCGATAGACTTCATTTTCTTTGGAACTTTCTAATTGAAAAACAGAGTCCAGAGAAATTGACTATAGTATATTAACAATAAAAATTGTGATGTGCCAATGAACATAAGCACATTTAATATGCATCACTGGTCCCCATCCAGGAATGTGATTGGTTAATGATTACTTATATTGTTCTTCTATTGGGATGATTTTTGCATAGCTTTTAAAAAGGTGGTCTACATGACCATTTCTTACATGGAGAAAAAGTTATATTACAAAGAAAACAACAATATTAAAGTGAGACAAAATAATTCAGAAACTCGACTAACAAATCATTTGGCAATAATTTAAGTTTTATTACAGTGAAAGGATGGCCCAACTTATTCCTTTATGACCACCAATGATTTTTAAAAATCTCTTTCAAAGTGCAGATCTCTTTAATGCACTTCAACTTTTGCCACAGCTATACTGTCTTCATTATTCTGAAATGACTTTGAATATTGCTTTTCCAAAGATTTAAATTATTTTTACACCCATAGTGCTTCACAGAAGACCAGTGAACCAGAATGCATGACTGGTTATTACTGTCATAATTTGAAAGACATCCAGAACAAGACTTAAGTGAAGTCATGGGATAGTTCTACTTGAAATTGAGTTATTAGTACTTTTAAAATTTAACTTACTATAGTTTCTTCATAAGAAGAATTTTCACTGCTTCATTTTTCTTAGGTCATTTCATGCCTAAGGCTTACAGTCGAGTGTTGCCCTGAGTCAAGGTTTGTATTTCTCTACACATCACACACAAAAATGGTTATCTTATTTTCTGTTATTCCGATATTTTATTCTGGTATTGTATAATAAGCTAGGCCTTCAACTATGACTCAACTTTTCTATATTTCAGGATATTTCTTTTGGGTTTCTTTCAGTGCTAGTGTTCCGCAAATGTTTCTCACTTCAGAAGTTCTTGTCTCTTTCTTCATTTTATTCCTGGGTGATTTTATTTATGGCCATGACATGACCCATACTGTACTTCTGTGCTCCAAACTCTTGCATCTGAATACTTCCGGGACATAACTATCTATATTTCTCAGAAGCACAAAGCCACAAACATATGAAGCAGAATTCATCACTTACCACCCTAGGTCTCTAGCATGCCATATCACTATGAATGACATCATCATTTTTTGTCACTCAACCCTACAATTTATCTACTCTAACATTTTCCCTCTCCTATCCCCGCACATATATTATACACAACTGAAATCGATCCAGTAGTCCCATAGGTAGTTTTCTAGACAAACAAAGAAATTAAACCTTCTGGACTTAGAGCTTCAACCTTGTATTTATTTTATCTGAGTTCCTTCCTCAAGAACAAACCTCCAGGCCTCTCAAAAAAAAAAAAAAAAAAAAAAAAAAGTCTGAGTTTCAGTGGAAGAACTGAAGTTTCAGCCAAAGAACTGAAACTCACCAGATCACCACATTCAGACAATCAAGATGCTGGACCTCTCATTCCTCATAATTGCTTCTTTGTCCCTCCCTAGTTGCTGTTCTCACACATTGTTACATTTCTTCCCTGCTCTATAAACCCCTAGTTTGGGGGGATCAGTGAGATAGATTTGAAACTGAGCTCCCATCTCCTGCAGGGCCCGATTAAATCCTTCTTCCTTGGCAATACTCATAGTCTCAGTTACTGGCTTTCTGTGTAGAGAGAGCAGGATCTAGACCAAACCCCTGGCGTTTCGGTTGGCTCTTTGGTGCCAATTTTCATTACTATGTCTACTTGACATCAGTTGCGGTTTACACCATCTTCATTTTTTCCTGTGTCATTTCCAGAGCCTCCATCCCAAGTCTCCAGGCTTCATTTTGCTAAACTAATTCAATACAACACCAGCAAGGGAGACTTCCAAATGCAAAAATCTGATCATGTCAGTCCTGCCAAATCTGGATAATTTCCCCTTGGTCTCACTTCCTGCCTTCCTGCATCCATGTATCCTCCAACAAGACGGAACTGCTTACTCCAAGTGAGACCCACTCCGCTGTGCCTTGCTACTTGCTCTGGACTCCATTTCAAACTCCATTTTCTCACCCCTTCCCCTGCACACATGCATTTCCTATGATTCAGTTTGGTATTCCTTCCTCATTGTCGAGGCAGAATTAGAAGATTCTTTCCATGTTAAAATTCCTTCCTCTTCCTCTGACCCAGGAGGCCTAGTTAGGACCCTATGCTTACTGCTATTATATCTATGGCATCACTTATCACATGGTATTGTAATTATTATTATTATTATTATTATTATTATTATTATTATTATTATTTTGAGTCAAGGTCTGGCTCTACTGCCTAGGCTGGAGTGCAGTGGCAGGATCTCGGCTCACTGCAATCTCCACCTCCTAGGCTCAAGCCAACCTCCTACCTCAGCCTCTTGAGTAGATGGGAGTACAGGGGTGCACCCAGCTAACGTTTTTGTATTTTCGGTAGAGACAGGGTTTTGCCATTTTGCCCAGGCTGGTCTCAAACTCATGAGCTCAAGCAATCCATCTGCCTCAGTCTCCCAAAGTCCTGGGATCACAGGTATACACACTCAGATGGTATTGTAATTCTTGAGTCACTTATCCAATTCTCTGAATAAGCCATAGATGTCTGGAGGTCACGATATCTATTTTTATAAACCCATGACTTGCTAGCACTTAGCACGTGGTAGGGCCTTAATATGAAGTGCAGTAATATATTTTTGAATGATTGAAATTTTGTTTCACATATTTCTGTGAAATAGGTGAAATATGTGAAATTTCACGTCTTCCTTTTTAAATCTTAAGTTAATTACAAACTGTTAGTGACTTTATTCTAGTATTCATATTAATGGCCTTAGAAGTCCACCTTGGGCCGGGCGCGGTGGCTCACGCCTGTAATCCCAGCACTTTGGGAGGCCGAGGCGGGTGGATCATGAGGTCAGGAGATCGAGACCATCCTGGCTAACAAGGTGAAACCCCGTCTCTACCAAAAATACAAAAAATTAGCCGGGCGCGGTGGCGGGCGCCTGTAGTCCCAGCTACTGGGGAGGCTGAGGCAGGAGAATGGCGTGAACCCGGGAAGCGGAGCTTGCCGTGAGCCGAGATTGCGCCACTGCAGTCCGCAGTCCGGCCTGGGCGACAGAGCGAGACTCCGTCTCCAAAAAAAAAAAAAAAAAAAGAAGTCCACCTTACTTTTCACTCTTTTGTTACTTCTGAGTTATTTTCAAGGCTCTCATTTCCCTTCTGTGGTATATTATAATAACTGTTCCAATAGTCTAATTCTAATGTTTTATTTTTAAATCTGTAAAGATAATGCACTTCAAAAAGCTTTATATTTAAATTTTTATTTTCGGGTTTATCTTTCACTTTCTATTTTTTAAGATTTTCATAGTCAACTTTTATAATTCTTTCTGCTTTATTTGTATCTCCTGACATACTAACATTTTCTTCAACTCAAAACATCCTACCAGTGTATTCAATTACCTCCACTTCTTCCATTTTAAAATATTCTTTTTACATTGACTATATCGCTTTTTTCTTTCCTTCTTTTGAGAATGTGCATCACTAGGCTTTTAGACCAGCTGATTTCCATTTCATAACTCTCGAATTCTGCCACCTAGTCTCTTACTAAGATTTTTATTCACAGAAAAGTTGACACTAAGCCCAATACATTATCATGGAGAAGTATTATAGTTGGAAAGCAAGAGGATTTCACTGTATCTAAAGTATGGCCTGAACTGACAAGCAAATACAATCTCTCTCAAAAGTAATACCTTTATACATATCATCTGTATTCACTGAGATTTGCATAAGATAGGAATAGTTAATATCTAGGGAAATAAAACCTTCTTAGATATTGAAATAAACATGAACTATATATGAATACGCGGTCATACACATCACAATTAAACTTTTAAAATACCTATGTAGATGATTGTGTGTAAATGTTTATAATTTTTTAACTGAAATTATATCTGTTTAAAATTTCCAATTTTGTATAATCTCCAGTCATTTATTTCCATATAGGATCCTCTTTCATCACAAAACCCATATCCTCCGGCTTGCCTACACACTCCACCAACCCTGCACACTACACCCACCCTGCACACACTGTACTCACAGTGGTTACTTTTTAAATATGCATACAGAATTTTTTAATCTAACTGTCTTCAATTTCACAATTGGTCTAAAAAGCCATGTGTTTTAGAACTAGAAGAAATTATTTTATTCAACCTTCTGTTTTCAGGTACGTAAATCTTATTATCCCTACTGTACTGATAAACCTACCATAGATAAGTTAAGTGACTTTACAGAGGTTATTCAATGTGTATTAGGACTGGGTGTCCCAGGAGTTAGGGCTCTTAATCCTATTCCCTAGCGCCCTTGGCAATGCTTATATAAGTATCCATTATTGCTATGCATTGATGTTGCCAAATCATCTTTTAAAACTTTTTATATTTGTACCACTTCTTAGTGTTGTCAATTTGATAAAATAATTCCACATTATTTTCTTTGATTACCCTTATATTAACCTCTATCTACCTCAAAACTCATTCATTTTTTCTTTCATCTATAAATATCTATTAGCTGCCTATTCTATGCCATGCACTGTGCAAGATACAGAAATTAAAGGTGAGCCATCATCACAGAGCTCACAGTCTAATGAAAGATAAAAATAATCAAGCAATGCAATTTGAAAAGCATGCCCATTCCTCCTGTGCCAATATATAGGAACACATTAGACAGGTAATGGGAAGAATAAAAATGACCAAAATAAGATGTAAAAGATGATTTAGAAAAGCCATGTTAATTATGAAAATTATGTTCTCGGCACAGAGTACCATGCAAAAGGCCATGGTACATCTTTGTGACTAAAAGTAGTTTAGAGTGGTTGGGTCATAGGACATACGAGCAGTGCCGTAAAAGATGCCACTAGAGGTCTGAACAGAAATCAAATCTTCATGAACTTTGAAACTCTTATAAGGAAAGTTGGATTTTATTCTAAAGAAAATAAGGAGTAGAGGATTAACTTCTCATTCTAACGTACCATTTTGTGGTAAGTCAGCCTTCCAACATCATTGTGATACTCATCCTTTGTTTCTGATTTCCATTCTAAAGAGACTTGTTTTTATGATCATCACCCTGCTTAGAAGTTTTCCAATTCAATATCTCTTTTCAGTGAGGCCCACACTGTAACCCACTGGTAAGCATTTAGAATTTAGAGTTGAAATATGTAATCATTATCACATTTATTGAGCAGAGCACTTAACCATGTCAGGGATTGGGCTAAATTCATTTGTCATCCTGACTTGTAACTATGAAAACCTGTGATATAATCCTCTTTATCTCCAAATTACAGATGAGAATTTTGATGTTCACAGAAGTTCAATAAGTTGCCAAAAAAATATCAAACAGCTAGTAAATTTTAATGTCAGTTTTACATCCATGCTTGCATACTCAAACTTTCCTTACACATAACACATCCTTGCAAAGAATACTGGAAATCCAATATGTGAAGCTTGAAAACAATAAGTGGATGTTTTAAAGAAGAAAGTATCTATTTGCAAAAATCTTCAAAGATACATTAAGACCATTTAAGACATTTCCCTAATTTAATAAATTCTCTCATTTAAAAAATGTCCTCAGCAATATACACAGTCAACCCAATTAAACCCAGCAAACCACAGAGTCTAAATATTTGTTGATTTATTTGAGTCCAACATTTCTGTATAGTATTAAGTTTATGTGGTCTGTGCTTCTACTACTAATGTTAGCACTTCCATTTTTCTGTTTTACATTTATTCTTTAAAAACAGTAAGAACAGAATACAACAAAAGCTGATCGCCAAAAAATACTCCCTACTGGACAAAAACGGGCTACTGCTGAAGTTAAAGTATTGGCTGACAGACGGCACCAATATTCCAGAATGTTCTTTCATTTAATAATCAAAGTCTTTATTCTTTTTACCTAAATTCAATGGATAGATTTTACTCCAAAATTTATGACAATACAGAGGTTTTTTTGGGGTTTTGTTGTTTCTTGTTTGTTTTGTTTTTTGGTAGAGACAGGGTCTTGTTATGATGCCCAGGTTGGTCTCAAACTCTTGGCCTCAAGTGATCCTCCTGCCTCAGTCTCCCAAAGTGCTAGGATTACAGGCATGAGCCACCAGGCCTACCCACAATGCAAAGTTTTGAAAGTGTATTGGTCAAAGTCTAGAATTGCTTATTATTTACAAGCTTATTGTGAATATTGCAAAAAAATGCATGTAAGGGTTGTATTTTCCAAGTGAGTATACCTCAAGATTTTCAAGATCTTATAGCAGTGGAATTTGCTTTCATTTTTTTCCTGATTTTCACGTTAACACCACCCAGCAGTATACTGGCCCAATATGTTTGGGAAGAGCAACCTCCAGGTTCCATTTCTGAATTCCCCACTTTTAATTCACTCTGACAGTTCTGATCATGGTAGCCTAAAAGCACTATCTTACTTTTGCTTACCGCATATGACTTTATTCCAAACTTACAGTCTTCTCCATTTATTGTGATCATCTTGGCATATAATTAACAGAAAGCACTTAATATCCCAGAGAACTCATTTCTCACACAATATTCTAGATTACTCATACAAAATGCAATACATTACTTAAAAATGCAATACATCTTTGACTTTCTACTTTTCTTATTTCTTAGCTGCTTTAATACCTGTGCTCTTTTCTTTATGAGAGAAGTGTGTGTATGCATATCTGTTTCATTTTATATATCTATTAGGCACAGACACACACACAAAGACACACACACACACACAAACCTGCAAGAAAAAAAGAAAGATAAAGTAATTTAGGCAAATAAGTATGTTGTTTTTGGTGTTAAGATTCCCTGCCTGATCAAAATTATTAGCATTCAATAAAAATTCTTCCAGTGTGAAACATTTTCCTTCTTGTGCTACATGTCATTCCTGCACTAACTAGCCAATGAAAGATACCTCAAATTCTGATGATTATATTAGTTATTCTCAGCAAGCTTCAAAGTACTCCTCTGATCATCATAATTAGAATTTTGGGAGCACTGCAATACATAAATAATTGCATTCAGAAAATTATAAACACTAAATTCGGTTTCATTTTACCATGAGAGCTCATTTTTAAGGTTCATCTTCTCTAAAGGCTTTCCTACATATAAAAGCAACTGGAAAATTTATATATACATGCTTGTTTCATTGTTCTGCAACTGATAATATGCAACTGACACTTTTGGTAGGTACAGCATTTTCCGTAACAGCAAAGCATTTATCCACATAAAATGAAAATCAATATATAATAATTGACTGGGACTTGATTTTAAGGTAATAGACTAAGTCCCTCTAACAATGAATATCTTAGCACTCAGAGGAAAGAATGTAACGAGTAAGAATTGCATAGGGCCCATGGGCCTTCCAGAAAGACTTTGAAATCCTCTAGCTTGCATATGAAAATTTATTGCAAATGGATTTTTACAGCACAGGGATGTTACTTAAAGAGCAATTCAAGGCTCAGTGTGATATTTAGATTTAACATTTTACAAGCTTTACAGTTAACTTCTTTTAACTCCTTGGAAATACAAACAGGATATAGTCTTCTAGTTGAATGAGTGTATTAGCTTCTTATTATTTATGGTTTTAGAGAACAACTTAGTAGCATAGTAGAAAAAGCATAGGATTTGCTATAGAAACACTGAGGTGTTCATCTCGGATCTGCCACTTAGCCAGAAGTCCTCAGACAATTTATTAGAGTGCTCAGTTAAGTGGAGAAATAATCTCTTAGTAGGGGTGAGATGATAATGTGAACATTACTAAGTAGGTGCTCAATAATGTTAGGCAACTTCCCAAGCTAGTAATACCTAAGAAGAAATCTGACTTCTCATGAATGCTGTTTTATTTTTCAAGGGAAAGAGAAACATTTTTTTAGAAAAACTTGATTTGTTAAGCAATAATAACTTAAAGTTCCCTATTTAATTTATAGTCTTTAGTAATGTGGCTTAGGCTTTATAATGTTTAAGTAATTAGAGGAGCAACTTGATGAAATCAGCTTATCATAAAATATGAAAAGAGCATATTCCTCCAGTTAGGTTTACAGGAAAAGACTGTGTGTTTGTTGTTTAATCTGAACAATTAGCATATATTTCCATAAATCTTTCAAATAATTAGCTAGATTTCTTTGATAAATCCTTAATAATAACTCATAAGAAAGGAGCAAGACTGGACTTTGGAAAACCTATGTTCTACTCACAAGTCTTCAATTTATTATGCATGTCATACTAGACACATACTTAAAGTTTCCTGTGTAATTTGATTCAAATATTTGTCCTGCCTACTTCACAGGGCTATGCCAATAAGGATCAAATAAAACATTAGAAATATTCTTTACCCTAGTCTGAAAGGACTATGCAACCATTCTCATCTTACCCATTCATGACATTTCTTTGAATTCAGAAAAATCAACATTCTAAAATTCACAATATAGACAACTTCTGAAATGTAATGGTGTAATTTTTGTTTGGGTACCAACCTCAAAGTTAAAATAAAGACCAGCTTTTGTAACCTTCTGGGAGTAGCATAATCAGATGGGTAGTCGGGTATGACCTGAGTGACTCTTCCCACAAAAAAAAGCTTAGGAAGATGGTAGAAGAGGGGAATATAAAGAAGGAGAAGTGACTGAAACAGAGGTGAGTTCGCTGAAGACTCCATCTCATCTGGGCCTCCCACAGGACAAACAGTGGGGAACTATAATAGTCAGAGGCAGACAACTTCTTTCCGGAAACTTGTCTGGGACAGCCTCATGACTGGGAACGACTTGCACCCAGCTCCACGGATCTCTACTGCCTTGCATTGGCCCCAGCATCGGAAGTCTGCTTGTATCTTCTCGGTTTTCATAACCCATTCAAAGTCTGTTCCTCCTTCCTCAACAACTGAACTGGCTGCAGGTGAAGTACTCTCCATCTTCCTGGTCTTTATTTTCTAGGCAACCTCTCAATGCTGCACATGTCTCGTCCCCAGTAAAGGAAGGGAATTCAGATTAGATCTATAGACTGGCCACCTAGGAAGTGTGCCTTTAGGTACAAAACTCCTTCATGCAGAACTCACATCTTGTCAAGGTGGACGTAAGTCTTTAAAAAAACTAAAATTTACAGTTGAAATTATATATCCATGGTGTGGTTTGAAGAGTACACAAAATAGCAACATCAACAAAAAACCCCAGCACATCCCATCAGATTTCTTTGGAACTCCAAATTCCTCCCATTAATTTCATCCTAGTGGTTAAAGCATTTTTTCTACAAACACGTTAAAAAGCTTTCATACTGCCTTAAATATAAAGCCCATCAACCCAACCTGACCTGTCCTATAACCTATTGCCACATATCAATGTTGTTGCTTTTCTAGCTAAGCTGTGTAGAAATTGGATATAGAACATTAAATTTGGGACAGAGGCCAGGAATTTATGACATGGTTTTAACCAGAAAGGTCAAGATTAAGTAAGGAGTCACAATGGGAGTTTTGAAAAATAGAAAACCTAGGCCTCCAAAGGGAAAAGTGAGGAAGCTTTGCAATACATTTCATACACTTGATAATTTTGCTAAAATAATTGGTGTAATGGAGATGATTCAAATCTCAGAGCATGAAATTATCGTATTTTAGTCCAAACCCCCAAATGCAAAACTGATTTCTAGAGAGCAACATACGACTCTTAGAAGGATGTTCTCTCTAGGGTCCAGAAAGAGTCTTACATCTTTGCTTGCAATGATTGTCCACAGAGATGCAGCTTGTCTCATGCTGCTGGGAGTGATTTTAGGAAGCATTAGAGTGTTAAATGCATTAGGCTAAGAACTGCTGAACAGAAGACTTGTTTTAAGGGCAGAGACATGTTCGGTTTCCTGTATACTGATCACAGCTCATGTCAGCATGGGCTTCATGTGTAGATCACAAATACTAAAGGCCAGTGCTGCAAAGCTGACCAGGCAGTGGAGGAAGGGAGCTGCAATCATGCTGTGTCATGGTGGGATCCCTTTTGGTGCTGTTATTTTTCACTCAGAGAAGTGATCTTTTATACTGTTTTAATAATCATATCTTCACAACTGCTGATAACAAACTAAAAATATTGCTTGGCTAAAATTTCATTTCCTAGTGCTATCCTAATTTTATTTTCCGAGTTGCTGAGTGAAGAGGAAAGAGAGAGGATGGGGGAGAGAGAGAATGAATCACATCACTCACAAATCCTGAGTAACAATTCACAATAAATTAATACATAAGATTAATGAAAATGCAAGTCATGATGCTTACATTTATGTGTCAGCCTGGCTAGGCTACGGTGCCCAGATGCTTGGCCAAACACCAGCATAGATGTTACTGAGAAGGTATTTTTAGATGTGATTAACATTTTAATCTGTAAATATCCAGGAAAGCAACTGCTCTCCATAATGTGGGTGGGCCTTATTCAATCAGTTGAAGGCTAAGGTAAGGACTGAAGATCAAAGAATATGACCTCAAGACTGCAACATAGAAACTCTGCCTGAGCTTCCAGCCTTGCTAGCTTACCCTTGACCCTGCTGTCCTAAAATGTGGACTAGCTGGCCCCCACAACTGTTTGAGCCAATTCTTTAAAATACACCTGTCTTCTCCCTCTGAGAATGAGAGTTTTGTAACTGAAAAAGATGCCTAGCATAACTAACTACATATTGCTCTAATTCCCCCACCATGTGGTGGTATGTTTTACATCAACAGCCTCTGTATGTGCTTATCTCTGCACATAGGCCAACCTAACTATGGGAAGAATTTAGTTTCTAGTTTAACTTTAAAGCAAGGATGATAATAGTCCCTTCCCAAAACTAACTCACAAGAAAATAGGGTGTACACAAAAGTAACACGAGTAACGATGTTATGTGCAAGATTTATAGGAGCATTGTGGCCTAAGGACAAAGAAGTTTCACAACCCCCCATCCAACCGTCACTGACTCCCAGATGTCTGTGACCATCAGCCACTTGCTGACCTCAATCCTTTCCTCTCCCCCTTCTCATAACATAAAAGGAGCCTAAACTTCTACTAACTTAAGATGATTCTTTAGGACGTTAGTCCAAAATCTTCTCAGTCTACTGGCTCTCCGAAAAAAAGTCACCTTCCTCATCCCAACACCTTGTCTCTCAAATTACTGGCTGTCGTGCAGCTGGCAGTATGAGCTTTGAATTCTGTTACAGTTACAACTCATTATCATCTTTAAAACAGACTTTTACAATGGGCTCCTGACTGCTGTAGGAGTCTCTTGCCTCCACCCCATTAGTTTATTCTCCTTAGTCTTTTAAAGTAAAAATTTTAAAAGCGCCCCATTCATAAATTTATTTCCACATTCCCGGATGTATACGGGGTACATTCTAAGCTCCATAATACAGCATACAAGCCATTCTTTGTTTTATACCTCCTTGCTTGCTTTCTTCTCTCCTCTCCCACCATGAAAATTTACCTGTCGTTTATTCTGCAGTCATAGAGAAATGCTCACGTTTCCTCCCGACTCACGATTCCATTTCCACATCCGGCCTTTTCCCATGCTTTGTCATCTATTGACAATGTTCCTTTTGCCCTCCTCCTCTTGGAATACATATTCATGCGTGGAATACATAGTTTTATCTTTCCTAACAGAATTAAGACATCATCTTATGCAGTCACTCACCCCCAGTACACTGACTCTACTGTCTGGGCCACCCCTGAATCTGAGTACCTGTGTATCTCTGTATCTGACCCTATCCCTTACTGCTATATCTCAGTATCCTCAGCTAGACGGTGAATATTCAAGAGCATGAATTGTATCCTTCCTCTCTGCATCCTCAGCACCTAACCCAAAAGCTTGTCACGGAGCATGCCCTAAGCAAGACTGTGTTGAATAGTCAATCACTTTATTCTTTTGGTTCAGCTACTTGAAATTAAATTTCACAGTAGCTTATGTAAATAAACATCTTTCTTTATATATCTCATCTTCAGAGTTCAAACTATGCAAAAGTATCTTGTTATTTGTTTTGGAATACAATTAGTTTATGTAGTAGTCAGACAAAAAAAAAAAATGGATTATCATTCCCGCTTAGGGTTAGGTACTTCTAGACTAAGAAATACACTTCTCAGATTTAGAGTGAATCTAAATAATTTAGACATAGAATACATTTAAATTCCCAAATGGCATTCATTTTTAAAATGCCCTGACATTTTATGGGGTCATTTTCTTTTAAAAGCATGCTGAACTTTAAGAAGGAAATGAGCATGATGATCACTTTTGTAAGTATCTTTTTTTAAAGTTACATGGTGGCATAGAGCTAAAAGAAGCATTGTGGTTCCAGCCTAACACCCTCAATTTTTAGCAAATGAAACAGTTGAAGCCTAAGGACTTTGAGTAATGTGACCAAAGGCAGAAAACTGGTTAGGTGGAGAGCCTGGACTAGAAATTTGCCCAAGAGAGTTCTATCAGATCAGTTACTCTTTCATTACTCTCCTATCTACCTGTCTATTACTCCAGGCACTAACATAAGCTACTTATATTTTAAAAAGTAATTACACAAAATGCCTTTAGTATTACATGCCAAAGAGACAAATCCTTCTAATTTTTCACATATATTGGTAATTTGAGACATTTTTCTGCTATGAAGTCTAATTTGCTCAAAAAATTTTATGCTTGCCTACCAATATTTTTCTAAAGCAATTTAAGCATCAGTGAATCACTGATAAGTACTAGGCAGAAATACAAATCATTTGAAATATCCCAGACCAAAAAAAAAAACATTTTATGGAATTACCAAGTATTGACTTTTTCATGGAACTAATATCATACAGAGATAAAATGTCGAGACATAACTTTTGGTACTATGAGACTATAGCTTCTAATAGATACTTAAAATATGAAGCCAGGACATATAATAGATACCTTTTTTCCTTCCTCACATCTATGAAGATGAAGAAAATTTAAACACATTACAAAATATCTGAAGATATTGTGAGCCATTTTTTATGGCCATTCTTAGAAATTTTTCATGACTTCTATTTTTTGGCCAGTCTCAGAAATTTGTCAGGACTTTTTGGAAAGAGAGGATTATTATAACAAAGAGAGCAGAAAGAAAGAGGGAAGTATATGTGTTAGAGGTGATATGGGTAAACACAGAGGCTACAAACAATTGAAGCGAGACAGAGCAAGGGGGTAGCAAGAGAAGGATGGGAGAGAGAAAAGGAGAGAAAACTGTGATTGCAGAAAGAGTTTGAGATTAATAGCAAATGCAAGGAGGAAAAAACAGGATGAGGAAATGGATGTCGTGGAAGCAGAATTCACTTTTCTTGTGTAATTTCAATTCAGTCTGAACACACCATCCCTTCCTATCCTTTTGTCAATGAGATAGGCTTTTAGCTTTCATTTCCTGTTGTTTACCACATCGGACTCTAGGATTTGGCTGCCTTCTTTGTCTCCTGCTACACCCATCACCACCACCAATCCCAAACCAGCCAGAAGGTAGAGATTGCTCCAAGGTTATACCTTTGAACTTTTCTGTATCCTGAAAGTACTTGAGTACACTCAAGGAACTTAAATAAGTCTCTCTCATTTTTTTTTTTTTTTTGCTTCCCTCCTTTCTCTGCACACCGCCTCCCTCCAGCATTCCCTTTTTCGTTACTATTCTCTTCTGTCTCAAAGAGAGGGAAAAAAAAGAGATTTCTTTGGAGTGCCACCACTCAATAACAAATACCATTTTGGCAAAAACCTTCATAGAATATGCTTCATGTCAATTGATTGGGACTTTAAAAGCTATGAGATTTGACAAGTTGCGCTTTTCTACATAATTGCAGCGTGTCTCAAATAGGGTTTTAAGTTACGACGCCAAAAGGAAAATGATTTGAACAACTTGAAATGTTAGATGACTTGTTTGGAATATTCTTGTTGGAGACTCACTGCTGTAATGAAGTGGATTCTTTTTTTCATGAATAACAGAAAAAGTCAGAAGTTCACTCGATATTTTGAAGATATACTTGACCAAACTCGACTTTATCAGAAATAAGCATTACAATGGCTTCAGTGTTAAGTACAATTATAAAACCATTTAAAAATATGAATCTGACAAGAAATAAACCAGGTAAATTGACCTATTAACATTAAATAAACCCATGCAGTAAAAATAAGTGCATTTCATGTATTTACAGCTGTTATTGCAGTAATTTGGAGTGCTCTGCCTGGCAGATTTTCTCTTATAAACTAAGAAAAGTAAGAACTTGTTGCAAGAATTAGATTAGCAAAAGCACTAGACAATCCTTAACTTTTTAGCATATGTAAAATTTAGTGTGTGTTCCACCATATGGCAGTCAATCAAAGAAATTGAATTTTTCTAACTGAAGGAGAAGAAGGGGTTTTTTTCCTTCCCATTTATCATTTCCATTATAACTTTAACCTCCTTGTATGTTGAACTCTAGGAATAGCCCCAAATTTCATTTTCATGTTTAACATGTATTTCAGAGATAAAACATGAACCTTATCTTACTCCCTCTGCTGGGAAAACTTTCAAATTAGTATCTTCCTCCTATACCTGCACACCAAAATTTAGATAAAGGTAGACACTAAACATCCAGCAAATCTACAGAGATAGCTCCATAGACCCATGCATCTCAATAGAGGTACAAGATAAAATGTACCATATTTCTCTTTAAAAACCTTTTGAGAGATGCAGGAGGCAGACAAATGCCTAGGCAGATAAGGAAGTGTCCCCAGAGAATCTTCGACTGGTCCCACAAGTGTTTACACGAGATGTTTTTGTGTGGATAAGGAACCTGCACAGGGTCTTGCTTGGGCATACCCACACTGGACTGGAGGCCCCATGCACTGGGGGACTGGGATAGAGCCACCAGGAATTCATGCCTTACGTGGGAGGAGGAGCCTGTCCTCTCTGGGTTGTGTGTGGTGGCCTGATTTTCAGTGTGAGGTGACAGCCTGTTGGCAGGAACTCTTCTTTTTTTTTTTTTTTTTTTTTTTTTTTTTGCGTAATGAATCCACCCTCCTCACCTTTCAATGTGTTCCTGTGCCTAATTTTTCCTGGTCATGAGACAAGAACCCAGATTTCAGCGAACTAAGCAGCAAAAAATCCTGCATCAATATTCCCCTGGTATGATCTGCCTCAGTTGATGGTGCACCCGTAAGAAACCTAAGAGTCACTCTCCCTCTCTCTCCATACCATACTCAGTAATAACAAATTCTTTGAATGTACTCTCTATCTCAGGTCAGGACTCCATTGCCTTTCTTGTGAAAAACTGGTATCTTTTTGACTGGTCTTCTATTTGCATACTTACTCTTTCAAATCTAGCCTTCACATAGCCATGAGAAGGATGTGATATCTCCCAGATATACCACAGGTTAGATTTTACATTTTGAGTCCATTGGTGAGTGCTTTTGTTTAATAGGATGTTTGGTCTGTTTACAATTATCTCCACTTAGTAAGTGATGCACAATGTTTGCTCTTAGCTCTATCATAGGTTATATGTTCTCTGATATAAATATATGTGTGTGCATGTGTGTGTATATATATACACAAATATATATATACACACATACATATATATACTTATCCACTATATGGTCTTTGACTTATCTGGATTTCCTCTGAGAATTTAGGTTCATTTTTGTTCTCATAGTTACATTTATAACTATAATTTTATATAGTATTCTAATCCTCCTTTCTCTTCAGTTTCTCTACTATAAGCAAGAATTTAGATAACATTTTCCTTCCCCCTCAACTTTATGGATTATACCATTTTCTTAATGTTTATATTAAGTATCCTAATATATACACTGCCTGATGTGTGTGTTTCAAATTATATCTTTGAGCCTTGGCTTTATAGATCCAAATCCTTACAGAGTCTCCCAGCATTGCTCCTCCTTCTTCCTCCCAAATCTAGCCTCTAAAAGATCCGTAACTTTTACATTGTCAGGCTTTATGACTTTTACATTCTTTTTTGTAACTATGATTCTCACACCTGTTTTAGTTTTTCCTCCTATATTTACTTGTATTCACTACCAGTCTTTATTAAATTTATTATAGGCAGGAATGTACCCCAAGATTTAATCAAAGACCATGGAAATTATGTTCACTGATTTTCTTTTTACATGTTCAAAAACAGCCTATCTGTTGTCTTTATATCTGACAGTCATTTTGGTTGCCTTGGCCTAAACTTCAGTCCTATATTTTTTTCTTTGAGGACTTCATAGACATTGTTCCATTTTCTTTTGGGTCCTGACTATTGCTATTGCTAACTATAAGATGAAATTATTTTTTCTGGCTTATAGATAACTTGGGTTTCACCTGTACGCTTAAGCAAATAAGTTTGCCTTGAGAATTTAGTAACTTTACTAGGCTATATTTCTCAACTGCAATTATTGTCTGTTAATTTCTCCCAATATATGTTTGGTGCATTCATTTTGTAGATTCAAACCTTCTATTTCTCAGGAAAATCATCTTCAAATGTATTGTTCAAAGGTTTTCCGATCCATTATTTTGGTGATTCTATTCAGAGATTCCAACAATGTCCATCATATTTATTTAGAATTCCTTTTAAGATTCAGGGAGTCCATGTGCAGGCTGATTAAATAGGTATATTGTGTGACACTGAGGTTTGGGCTTCTAATCATCCTATCGCCCAAGTAGGGAACATAGTACCCGATAGGTAACTTTTCAATCCTTTCTTCTCCCCCTCCCTCTCCCCTTTTGGAATCCCCAGTGTCCACTGTTTCCATTTTTGGGCCCAGCAACATACACTTTTGATTGCCTGCTCTTTTCTCTTTAATCCTCTCCAACCCTTCATTTCTGTTCCATTTCTTCTCCAGCCGGTCCTCTATTTTTCCTTCGCCATTTTTTTTATCTTCTGTTTTTCTTGTTTGTATTTTCTTTCAGCATCTCTGTAAAGACCCATTTTCAATTATTTATTTGATTCCTGGACGAGATATTTGCAGTGGAGGCAGAGAGGGAGTGACTTCTGGCCTTGTTCCAGGCAGATATTCAGTGAAATTTTTTATGACACAAGATTTCCAATAGAATTTTTTTTTTAGTGTCTCCCTAGCCAGCTCCTTAGAAGCTCCAATACTGCTCACAATGCCTGGCCACTTTGCATCCATCCTGCCTCACCGAAGGACTCTGTGGGTCAATCTGACCTAACCTACATGCACTCAGCGTCAAAGGAAGTCCACGGAAGTTCCTACCACCAGCCTGAGCATCCTGCCCCTCTCCAAAGAGCTGGTTGGTAGTGTGCGTTAGGGACTGAATTGTGCACCCCCAACGCCAGCCTAAAATGTATATGTCTTAACCTCCAGTACCCCAAATGTGACTGGTTTGGAGATGGAGCCTTTAAAGAGGTAATTAAAAGGTCATTAGGGTGAGCCCTAATCTAATATGCTTGGTATCTTTATTTATTTATTTATTTTGAGACAGAGTCTTGCTCTGTCACCAGGCTGGAGTGCAGTGGCGCAATCTCAGCTCACTGCAACCTCCGCCTCTGGGGTTCAAGCGATTGTGCTGCCTCAGCCTCCCAAGTAACTTGGATTACAGGTGCCTGTCACCATGCTCAGCTAATTTTTTTTGTATTTTTAGTAGAATCGGGGTTTCACCATGTTGGCCAGGCTGGTCTCGACCTCTTGATCTCAAGATCCGCCCACCTTGGCCTCCCAAAGTGCTGGGATTACAGGCATGAGCCACCGCGCCTGGCTCTGGTTGATGTCTTGAAAGGAAGGAGACAATTCAGACAGACATAATGCACAGAGGGAAGACCACGTGAAGACACAGGGAGGAGAAGGCGGCCACCTACAAGCCAAGCAGAGAGGCCTCAGCAGAAGCAACGCTGCCAACACCTTGATCTTCGACCTCCAGCCTCCAAAATCACAAGAACATAAACTCTGTTATTGAACGCAGCCAGCGCATGCTACTTTGTATGGCAACCCTAGCAAACTCATATAGTATGCTTCTCAAAAGGTGCTTCCTACTTCAAGACACTAAATTTTTTTAGGTCTATGGTGGCTAAATCGTCTTTCTGTGTCTTCCCTGAAAATGAAGCTTTTGTCCAATTTTTGTATTTCCGCATTTACAGTGTGATTTTCAAATGACAAAAGGAGTAATGTCATTTATTTGCATTTTAAAATCAGAAGTCTGAGATGCATTTTTACTTTTAAGTTTTTCTCAATTTTTTAAATGTTTTAACGTTTTAAATGTTTTTATCTTAAAGAAACCTAGTTTATGACAGATGGCTACCCCTACTTTTATCAGAGATGACTAGTGGAGATGCACATTTTTGGAATTGGCCAGATCCAATGGCTTTTTTTTTTTTTTACCCTCAATAAAGCATGAGAAAGATAAAATAAAGAGGTGAAAAAGAAGGTTTGAAAGAACAGAAAAAAATAGAGGTTTGTAATAAGTATTAAGTAGAGGGGAAGAATAAACAAGTTTGACACACACAGTGACATTTCCAGTAGGTGTTGTGTACCTGTTTGTAATTAGTGATAATGAAGGGAATGTACACAAGCTGCCAAATTTTCGGATTTTTCTTAACAACACCAATTTCCTTAAGAGGAGCTTAGAATGTGAGAGAAAAGGCAAGTAACTGGATTTATCCAGGGTTACAGGTGTGCTATGCAAGCTCAACAGAGACAGAGATACAAAGGAACAGATCATTGTAAGGAATTGATTTCAAAAAAGGAAAAGAAAACCAAAGTTGAACGAGGAAAAAAGTAAATACTAAAGCTGCCTAATGGGTTGAGATACTATAATGTCCTGTACAGTTCTTTAGATTTGTTGCTTTTATTATTCACGCTTCTTAACTGGAATGTAATTTTCTTAAGAATAAGAACTGCGACCAACCTGGCCAACATGGTGAAACCCCGCCTCTACTAAAAATACAAAAATTAGCTGGGCATGATCGCGGCCACCTGTAATCTCAGCTACTGGGGAGGCTGAGGCAGGAGAATCGCTTGAACCCAGGAGGCAGAGTTTGCAGTGAGCCGAGATCGTGACAATGCACCCCAGCCTGGGCAACATAGCGAGACTCTGTCTCAAAAAAAAATAAATAAATAAAAATAAGAACTTCTTGTTAAATATTTTATATATTTGATAGAGACAAAGTAGTTTAGTTTATTTGGAATCCTTCCCTCAGGCAGCATGGTCTATATTAGGTACTCAATAAACACATGTTGGTTAATTAACAGATACATATATATATATACACACATATACACACACACATATATATGTGTGTGTGTATATCTCTAAGTGTGTGTGTGTGTATAAAACTGTTAAGAGAGAGAAATGGGGGAGGGTGGTGGAGGGAATTTCCAAAACACTGAGTTACAGAAATTACAAAATCCATGCAAAGGTCAGAAAGACTGAGATCTCTTTTTTCATTCTTGTACACTGGGACACATGGCATAGAATATAAAAACGTCCAGTGCAGAGGCATGGCAGGTTGAACTGGAAGCAGGAATGACATTTCAATACTTATTTGTCTGCAATTTACATCTATTATCCCTGAGAGGACCTTTGTTACTTTGAGGTTGTTTTCCTTCCTACCTTCTTATTAAGTCAATATGACCTAAAGAACCATTAATGGAGCTATAATTGAATAAAGCAACAGTTCTTTCATTATTGCTCAGTTGACTTCCTGTCATATCTAAAAATGACCTTACTTTGAAAGGCTGACTTCGAAGACTGTTTACGTACAAAAGGTTCACTTAGACAGTATTCAATTTTCTAGCATTTTTTTTTCTAAACTGCAGATCAAAGCACTAGATTTCACAGTCTGATTTTACCTTCTTTATTCATTGAATTTACTACAGACAAATTTCTGCATGAAAACAGGAATGCTCATGTATCTATAGCTTATGAACTAATAGTCGTGTTCAAATGAAATATCTACCAGTACAAGGAGATAGATCTTAACACAAACAGAATAACACAAAATAGACTGACAGATGCCCAAGGAAATTGGAATTGTAAAATGAAACTAAGAGACCTACAGATTATAAACATTCATATCAATTTCCCACCTTTCTCTGGTTAATTACAAATCTATTAATTTCCCATGTTTTTAATAAAAGTTAAAACAAATTATAAACCTTATAATCAATGTAGAAATAGCATATAAACAGATCATCTCTCCTTAGAATAACGGTATCACCGATTTCAACACATATAATTCATATAGCCTAAACTTTTTTCATTAAACAAAATATCTAAGGTAAATTATTTGCCAAATTAAAAATTTCCTTTAATTCTCCTAAAATGGCCTCTATAAACATGGGAATCTAGTTAACATATGTGTTTACTGCTTTATTAAAGTAATAACTTTTTTGCTATTTCTATATATGAGAAATTAATTCAATGTTGTTATTATTATTAGAGACAGTATCTCATTGTCACCTAGGCTGGAGTCCAGTGGTTCTATCACAGCTCACTGCAGCCTTGACCTCCCAGGCTCAAGCAATCCTCCCACCTCAGCCTCCAGAGTAGCTGAGGCCACAGGCATGTGCTTTCATGTCCAGCTAATTGTTTTGGCGTCTGCTGTTTTTTGGGTTTTTTGTTGTTGTTGTTTTGTCTTGTTTTGTTTTGAGATGGGGTCTCCCTACGTTCCCCAGGCTGGTCTCTAGCTCTTGGGCTCAAACAGTCTTCCCACCTCATTGCTGGGGTTACAGGTATAAGCCACTGCACCTGGCCAAGAACTTGATTGTTTTAAAAAGTTAAATTCTTCCCCATGTTTCATGGTCCTTGACTTTTAAGATTGCTGCGTTCTAGTCCTTTACATTCAGTTATCATTTTGCAAAAAATTAATGTACTCATCACAAATTATTCTCATGACCATTAGAACACAGTTGAAAATGTATACCATGTCTTTTGAAAAATTGTAGAAACTGATTATCTGCCTGGTTTAAAATTTTACGTGGTAAATCTCCAAACAAGTAGTTCTGTTTTCAAGAAAAATATGGAATTCTGACTGGCATATGTCTGTTAATGTTCTTCAGATCAATATTGTCCGTGGTCACTGTTCTATGTCCTTTATAGATATCATTGACATCTTCTGATAAGTATTTCTATGATGCATTTAAAGACAATTTTAAAATTCAGTCTATATTGAGACATTAATCATTTTATGTCTGATATGAATTACAACACCACAGAGATTATTGACTACATGTCACTGCTTATTCAGATGAACAAAATAAATGTGCGAAGACATTAAATAAGTTATTCAAAGTAATAAAGCTAGCAATATTAGAATACTTCCCAAAAAATCAGGATCCTAGCCAGGCACGGTGGCTCACGCCTGTAATCCCAGCACTTTGGGAGGCCGAGGCTGGCGGATAACCTGAGGTCAAGAGTTCGAGACCAGCCTGGTGAACCATGGTGAAACCCTGTCTCCACTAAAAATACAAAAATTAGCTGGGCGTGGTAATGCATGTCTGTAGTCCCAGCTACTCGGAAGGTTGAGGCAGGAGAATCACTTGATTCTGGGAGGCAGAGGTTGCAGTGAGCCAAGATCATGCCACTGCCCTCCAGCCTGGGCAATGGAGTGAGACTCCATCTCAAACAAACAAAAGAAAGAAAGAAAGAAAAGAAATCAGGATCCTATGTCTAGTGTAAGAACATATTTTTGGCTACTGGACTCTCATATATGTGAGTTTCACTTAGCAGAACCCCAATATCTAACATTGATAAGTTGAAGACTGACTTTATCTTATGAAACCACACCAAATGCCTCCCCTCTTTCTCTTAGCTCCATTAGCAATAGTCAGTATAATTCAGTGGCAATAATTATGATTATGTGCTCCACCTACTATTTGCCAAGTGACCATGTAATTTGATAGATACACATTATCTAATTTTATCCTCAAAATAACCCCAGGAGATCTATGCAGTCAATTATCCTGGCTTTGATGAAGAAAATGAGGCCTCAGAGAGTTAAATAACTTTGACAAATGTAGACAGCCAATAGGAGGTGCAGCTAATATTTGACCCAGGTTTATTTAACAACAAAATCCAAACCCTACTCACAGTTAATTTTAACATCCTTAACTTCTATGCTCTCATTTTTACTTCCCATTCGAACTTTCTATTAATCCCCTCAATGCCTAGCACCTTAAATGAGTAAATTACCTTTGACTTACAGAAAGGGGCAATGATCAGTAAAGGTGATCATGTAGAAGACTCTTAGACACACGTGCTGAAATCTAAGACTGCAGTACACGATGGGTCCATTCATCAGGAAAACAAAACAAAAAGCCTTCTTTCCAGGTTCCAAAAATAAGGAAATAAATTCCCCAGGAGTGGCATTGTCAATTTCACTAAAACAGGAGGATGTGGGATATGACATGTCAATATCAGCTCAGTCTAACCCAGAATCTGTAGGTAACCTGACAGCTTGGCCATGGCAAGGAAATAACACCTGACAGATAATCCCTCCTTAAAAAATTAGTTCCAGAACAAGTTGAACTATAATGTACATTTTATTTTGCTTGATTTCTCCTGGATATTCTACCCACCAACTTTGCTACTCTTTTTTTCCTCTCTTGCCCACACATCTACGCTAGATATGAATCCACCATTCTTCTGACAAGGGACTCCTGTCTACATTTTGCCAAGTCAACACACCTTCAGAGGCAGCCCTCTGTCATTCTTGTCTGCATACCCCTGTGGATATTTCTCCCACCTATCATCACCTACCCTCCTGTTGGGTACAAAAACCATGAATGCTACAAAATGTGGGTTTCTGATGTTCCCTTTATCTGCTGTTCCGGAATGGAATTATATTCTTCTGCATTTAAGAACATACTTTCCGTGTTATTTTTAATTAATAAACATTTGCTTCTAGAGCCTGGTGATTTTGTGAAATGTAATCGATTTCCATGGATATTGCATAATAAAATCTAAACTTAATTAGCATTCTTCAGATAAAGAATACTATTTAACAAGAGTGGTAAATTTAAAAGGGCACATTCTAACAAGCAAAATATTAAAATTCTAGGGTAAATTGAAAGATGCTTCTTGCAGCAATATCTGAACAATATAACAATCTCTCCTTATGTCTCTGTGTTCAGAAATCAGGAAAATATTCTTGCATACTCCGAAAACTACAACGTGGTTGCTAAAGACACATAAGCTTGGGTTTGGAAAAGACCATTCGCATACCTTATTCCAATCAGCTCCTCTTAGAGGTGAGTGCATCTAAACATGGAAAGTATGTTTTTTCCATGTTTCCAAGTATTTTCTTTCCATGCCCTTGATTCAATACCTATTGAATATGTATCTGAACATATGTCTTGTACAGTTTAATCATATTAATCCTTGTTCCATCTTCTCTTCCACAATGCAATATTTGAAGTGATAGATCAGCTAATTGACCTGACTTGATCATTTCACAATGTGTACATAGTGAAGCTGCAAATTATACCTCAAAAACATATACAATTACTATTTGTCAATTTAAAAATTCTGTAATTGAAAAAATAATTCTGCTTTTTTTTAAAAATTACATCCTCCCAAATTTTTACTTATTTCTCAACTGCTTTGTGGACCTGGAATATTTTCAAATATAAGGATTCTTTACAACTCACTGAAGCAAATTATTTTTTTCTCTCTGCATTGTCTTTCTGGAGTAATCTTGATCCATTTTTCCAGCCAGGTGGAAACTTCAGTCAAGGAAGACTTCAACTATTCTGAATATCTTACCTTGTACATTTCACATATAAAGAAGGCATCCTTTTCATTGACTATAGGCAAGTTTTGGTGAAAAGGAAATGATTAATCAGCTCATCTTCTCAAGAGATGACATGACACAGAAGAACATGGGATTTGAATTCACACATGAGATTTAGCTCACATTTGTCCTAAGCTTTCTGCCATGACTGTAGAATTAAGTAAATCACATACCCTCTCCGTACTTTTGTTACCCTGTCCCTAAAATGAAGATAATAAAACCTACTGTATAGGATGACTATAGAGATTAAAGGTACCCAACACATAACCAGTGCTACAAAATTGTCAACTCATGTCACTCTGCTGGATATAGTAAAGTTCGACCAAAATCTACTACAGTAGATTTTGCATTAAGAGGCTCAGGAACATTTCAATCTGATGTTGGAGATGATGTGTGACTTTTCTAGTATTTCCTGTGTACATCTCAGCACAGTTCCATGTGCATGTTGGGATATCTACATATGTGATGTTAACGTCAATATCCCTGCTATAAAGACAGAAATATGGCAGACTAACAACATCTCGAACGCTGATTTCATTCCCCACGTTGGTTTTGGCACGTTTTTGAAAATTTTAGCTGCTTAATGCATTTCTGCCAATAGACAAAAGCTCAACTGATTTCAAAGCATTTGCGGATAAAGTTGTGACCACTGAAGTGTCATTGAGAATAAATCTCTTAGACATGGGTGTACTAAAGAGCTTGTCGAAAAAAATGACAGTGTTTATTTAATAAGATTGATTTTGTTTTCAGATATTGTATTTAATTATTCATTATGTAAGTCTCCTTTTTATGTGGGTTCAGCTAACCTAGTATTAACATATGATTAAGTAAAGCTTCAAAGAATGAAACAAGAGTCAACTCCTTAAGTTTACTCATAGTATGAAGAAATTCTCTGCAAATAAGCTATCATAATCTAAAAACATTCCATTAAGAATATATAAGGCATAGTATGCATGTATTAAGCTGTCTTACTACTTACCATGTAAATTAACGTGAGGCTTTATTTTTCTGTATAAACATGCATGTAAAATGCTATTTTTTAGTAACCACCATTACTATATACCTCATATGTCATTTCTGACTCTCTCTCACTCCACATTAACAAAGCAGAAAAGGAATAATGTAAGTGTGTCTCAAATCACCAATCATACTGAATAGAAAAAGGATCTGAAAGCACAAAATTACCATTTTCTGAGTATTCATAGGCAGTGCAATATGCATGATACTTTATATTTTTTGGTGTTTGATCATATTATTGATTACCTATGTTTTACAAAAGGTAACTGAGATTAGTTAAGAATGTGCCTACATTTACACACGCAGTAAGCGTTAAAACTGAGATTCAAGCTCTTTCATCTATGACATAAGAATATGTCCTTTAAAGGAAGTTGTCTATTAAATGTCTATGGCATTTAATAAATTATTTAATTTTCTACTGTCCAATTACATTAATTCTGCTCAAAGGTATTGTATTTTAAAATATTAACATATTTTTCTGTAACCACTTCAGAAAAATTTAATGTGTTTCTCTACAGTAAATAATTTTGCCACAACTTGTTCAAAAAAGCACAACTGCAATACATGTACTTTATATAAATGGAGATGTTAATTCTTGAATAAACATCAGTGTGTAGAATTGTTTAAATAAAAGATGCTCTCATAAACTTGACATTTGAGACTTAAAGCTAGGAACTCCTAAGTTCCTCTCTAAAAAAGAATAGAGCCCAGATGAGAAAACTGTTGTCCCTTGCTGATAAGACACCCTTTCCCCCTGCACTTATATAAGCCTCTTTTATTCGTCTACCATGAGGCACAGACATCATTCTTACAGATTGGTCAGTCGCTAAACCATCAGTGTATCATAAAACACATCATGTGCTCCAGAAAACAATCAGATAAATAGGCCCAACTCACATGGCCTTTGCACCACAATTGCAAACAAATAATGGTTTGTTTTAGCTTTCCTTTTAGAAATTATAGGTAAGAGCCAGTATTTTAAATTTCTCATTTTCCTTAGAATTTAATGACGTCACGTAGTCATAGGTGCTCCTAATGTTCATAACAGTAAACACCATCCTTTAACTAAACTTATTTGCATAGAAGATATTAATGAGCAACACATTTTATTGCTATTAGCAGTGGAAAAAACGATCTCCAACTTACTGAAAGTCTAACGTTAAAATGTTGGTTTATGGCCATAGTTATATATTATAAATGCCTAATCTTAGAGACAAGCACATATTACTAACCTGGATATACTATAGTCTAATGATTCGATATAAAAATGATGAGTAAAACCAACACTAGTTAATATTCATTTCTTTGATTTCTCAGTCTCTTTTGTCTCCATTGCTATTATATTAAGTAGAACAGAAATAAATAGATTTTAACATGTTCAAATGAGTGTAATGATAATTTCAAGATTTCTCCTGTCTGACTGGGACATGGACAACTAAATACTTCTTGAATTTAAGATAAATTTCTTAAAATATGCTCCTCTAAAAATCTGAAGGCTGCTGTACAGTAGCTCTCCTATATTCTTTTTTTTAATGAGACTTTCCAAAAAATGAAGTTTTACCATACAGTGATACTCCTCATGTCAAAAACCTGGATGGAAAATTAACTTTCATCGAGTTTATAGTAAAGATTGGGAAATAAAATGCATATAATCAAGAACTCTAGCTCCAAGCCATTCACAAACTTGGTACTTTTTACCTGCTTGGCCTTCAGCAAGTTACTTAATCTGTGTGTGCCACAGCTCATAATCCTAAAACTCATCTCTTAAGTGTATTTTGGGGACTGAGGACATGAACAGAATGTGCTTACAGCTGCGTCATGTACACAGTAAGTACTCAATACAGCTTAGCTACTGGTGTGGATCATATTGTTTCAATATAGCTGTCAAAATAGAGTGATGTGGTCTTAACTGATGGATGAACTTATTGCTCAGTTAATACTGTGTTCAGAGAAGACTAATGAGAAAGAACAATCAAGTATGTAGGCATTTTTTCACTAAATATAGGTCAAACATATTGTGTGAGATAATACGGTTATCAGATCATCTAAATTCAAAGTCTGTGGCTTAACCAAAGTAGTAAAAACTGTTTGAAACTTTTGATATTACCTTGTATGTTATCAGTCAACATATTCTTTTTGCCAACTTTTCAGTTACTGACAAAGTGCCTTAAAAATGGAAATTTGTTTCTTAGAGAAAAATTCTGGTTGAATGTTACAGTTCATAGACAAAGGTCATGACATCCACAAGAAGCAAATTTAGTCTGTTACAATTTTCCCATTTACTCACATACTGATCTGAAAGTTTTAAGACATGTAGTAAAGGTAAACAAAAAATACCATGTATTTTGGCCAAACCATACTGCTTAATCTTTAAAATTAACACTTGAGGTTTGACTTAAATCATCCTGAATATGGTTTCTGAGCCTAATACCTATGCATTTTTTCCATATTTCAGCTTCATGCTGATATCTGGCAACACCCCTGGGTGTGGAAGCTCAGAGAATGCTAGAGAACAAAGAGCTCTAAGTCATGTCCAATCAGGCTGCCCATAGGGCTGCACCCAGGAGGGAACAAATCCAAACCAAAGGTCCCTACTTCTAGAAACGCAATTCAAACACAAGCATATTCCTAAAAGGAAGAAACCTATGCTCTCATGTTAGTAATTAAGATGAAGATTAAGAGCCAGAGAAACTGATTAATCAAGACTTCCATCTGGAAGGTCTCCAGCAGGTGGGAAGTAGGAAGGTAAAGCCAAGCGTTGATAGGAAGCAAATAGATGGTTAATGATGTGTGAGTCGATAAAACACCTAGTTTGGGACTAATCTCACCATCTCTTATCATTTTTGTTTTCATGCCAAACAGGTGTGTGGAAATCTCAAGAGTGAAAGGTTGCCCAGTTAATCTAAGCGGCTAGAAAATTAAAATTATAATCTTCCAAGGGAAACGCTAAGCAGCCAAAATACAATCTGTGCATCTTTCTTTATTGAGGGTGACAAGTGACCTGGATTTTTCCTTGAACAATTGAGACTGATTACTTTGATTCTACACATTAATTTTATGGCATCTACTTGACTGACAGTTACATATTTAGAATGAAAATGGAGTAATCTAATTACCTGTTTTTATATTAAATGTTTTGCTTTATTACCACAGACATACTTGAACTGGTAGAGTAATCTTAAATAGACTTTTCTTTATATTTTTTTGGCCAGGATAGATGGTAGATGGTTATACACTGTAAACAAACTTTTATTTATTTTTCTTTTACAGATGGGCCCTCATTATGTTGCCCAGGCTGGCCTGCAACTCTGGGCTCAAGTGGTCCTCCCAACTTAGCCTCCTGAGTAGCTGAGACTAATAGTGTGTGTTACCACACCTGGCTCAACAAACTTTTGACTAAGATAATTCAATTAAACCAAGACTTTTCTTCTGAACCTTACAAGAAAATGTGTATTTTTCACTACTTTTTACATTCACTTATATCCTTAGAAATCCTCATCATTCTGGAAGACTTAATCATTCAATGCCATGTAAGATTTTATTCTATATGCATGCCTTAGGCTTGAGAGATGCCATAAAATTAATGTGCAGAATCAAAGTGTATGCCAAAAAATTAGAATCACCAAAGCACCGTGTTAAAAGTGGAAATTCAAATTCTATCACACATCCTTCCACAGATCTGCTGGAGATGGAACTAAAAAAATTTCCAATTTAAATAAGGACCTGATGTAATCTTTATACACACCTTTAAAATCTGAGACCCATTGTTATAGACATTATAGCAAAAGTTCAATAAGAGGACTCCTAATTTATTTTTAATATTTATTTATTTAGAGACAGGGTCTCACTCTGTCAACCAGGCTGGAGTGCAGTGTTGTGATCACGGCTCACTGCAGGTTCCACATCCTGGGCTCAGGTGATCCTCCCACCTCAGCCTCGAAAGTAGCTGGGACTACAAGCTCACACCATTATGCCTAGTTAATTTTTTGTGTATTTTGTAGAGACGGGGTTTCACTGTGTTGCCCAGGCTGGCCTCGAAATCCTGGGCTCAAGCGATCCACATGACTCGGCCTCCCAAAGTCCTGGAATTATAGGATGAGGCACCGTGCCTGGCCACTCTAATTTTAAAGCACTGTTGTTTATACACACTACACTAAAAACAGCTATATAAAAAAACAGCATAATACGGTCAGTGAAAACGCTGGTCTTACAGTCATGGAACATAAATCATGTGAGACTCAGTGACTCTATAACCTTAGACATGTCTTTTAATTCTCTAACCATTAGTTTAGCTATCTGCTTCACTGAAGGGTTAAGTCTTGTTTTTTCTGAATCTTAACATGCCAGAATTCTAGAATCAGTACTACAGTATAATCAATCCTTAGAACTCCATAATTAATATGGGATACAGAAAACTTTTATCTTGATGTTTAATAGTTACATATAAATGTGTATTTATTACTACTGCTATTTTAAAATGTTTAATTTGTATTTATAGTAATTTGGAAGTGGGAAAAATTTTAACAACAGCTAGCTAGCCTGAGTATTAAATCATAAAAGTGATGGGAGAAAATTTCTCATTTACATATTAAATGAATATCCATTGCTTTGTACAAGGAGAAAGAAAATAAATTCTTTAAAATCTGTTTTGTATATTAACATCTGGATACTTCAGATGTAAGAGAAAACAACTGTCAATTTTAAAATATCCTTGGTGATCTTCTTAATATGACTTTTAAAATTCCATACTTCAAAAGAACCAAGAAAATCATATTTTAAATATTTCACAATCTTATTTTAATATCTCTCTATTACACATTGATCAAACCCTGTAAAATTCATCCTGATGGAAAATAATTGAGATACTCATCACATGCATTGTCTGGGCTTCTTGAGAATGGAAAAGCTTTCAACTATTTAAAGCAGACCCACTTAAAACTATTTGCTAATACTACTAACAGGAAAACAGATGTGTAGGCATCCAAATAACTCTTGGATATGCAAAATGTCTTTTGGAAATTGTTTGCAGATCGCTGGCAGCCACATATGACAAATACACGCTTTTAGTATCACACTCCCTAGGGCGTCATTAGAACTTTTCTGAAAGTGTCTAGTCCATTATCATAGAAACACAAAGTTGGACCCTGGCCCTCCTCCTTAGTAGTCCATCAGCTGCAGCCATAATAAAAAAAATCAATGAAATCACTTCTCTGTGACTTGAAAAAGGTAATACTAGGTTTTCTCTGACATAGGTGACATGATAAAGAACATTTGTATAGATTTTAAGAAGAGTTGCCTCTCACTGAAAGTCACAAATACACACACTTGTAAGCATTAGCCACAGTACCGACTTCTCTGAGTCATTTGTACTTCTCATCAGGAATTGAGCTGGTTATTCTAGCTCAAAACAGTACTATCTTGACACTCAAATTTAAACGTATTCTTCTACATTACGTCCACCATGAGAGTTGTGTATTTCACCTTCAATATTCATATTTTTGTAGTATACAGTTTGTAGTGATAATTTTGTAGTATAATCAGCATAACAGTTGCTTAGAAAAGGGTCTCATTGTTTTTATTTTTTTCATTTATATTAGCAGAAATAAGATTTATTCAGGAAAAACAAAGTCATGTAGTGTAAACTGTGGTATCGAATTTTCCTATTTTGTATTTGGCTTAAATGGTAGGCATACCTCTTCATCAGGGAATGGTAGAACATCAACAGAACACGTTTATTGTACGTCAAAGTAAAAAAATTACACTTCACTGTATTATATTATCCTCAAGGTTAATTGATTTATGACGATTTGACGAGTTCAGCACAATTTAAGTTACAAAATTGACACAAGAAGTTCCAGCAACCCACACAATAATCGGACCATTAAACAATCTACAGATGCTCCATCTTTTTATATATGAGTGTCCACTTAATAAAACAGTATCATTTATTCACAAATCACATTACAGTAGTTTCTACAGCCGGGTTCTTCTATGGGTCCTTGGGATATAGCAGTGTGTACAAGAAGCAAGAAAGACCTCATTCTCATGAACAATACCTGCTAGTGGGGGAAACAGGAGAAACATTAAAAGGAACCAAATTAATTGAATGATACATCTAAATAGACTTCCCTGCTGAAAGAAAATAAGACAGAGGGATGGAGAGTGATACGGCAGTTGTTTTATTTATTTATGGTTTTTTTTAAATTTTTTTTTTTGAGACACGGTCTCACTCTGTCGCCCAGGATGGCGTGGAGTGGTGTGATCTTGGCTCACTGCTAACTCTACCTCCCAGGTTCAAGCAATCCTCCCACCTCAGCCTCCTGAGTAACTGAGATTACAGGCGTGCACCACCATGCCTAGCTAATTTTTGTATCTTTAGTAGAGACTGCATTTCACCATGTTGGCCAGGCTGATCTCGGACTCCTGACCTCACGTGATCCACCTGCCTTGGCCTCCCAAAGTGCTGGAGTTACAGGCATGAGCCACTTTGCCCAGCAACAGGCCAGTTGCTTTAGATTGGATAGTGTCTGAGGACACATATGAGCCGGGAATTCAGTGACAGAAAAGAGCTATTCATGTGATGAGAGCAGAAAGAATAGCAAATTCTATAGTACTAAAGTCCTGAGTTAAAGGGAGACAAGGGTATCCCACACACAGGGAGAAGGAAGTGTCTCTGGAGCCCAGTAAGCTAGGATGCTATGAGAAGAGTGATATGGTTCAGTTCTTTGTCCCCACCTTGAACTGAAATAATCCCCATGTGTCAAGGGAAGGATCAGGTGAAGATAATTGAATCATGGGGGCAGTTTCCCCCATACTGTTCTCTTGATAGTGAGTTGTCTCAAGTTCTGATGGTTTTATGAGGAGCTTTCCCCTTCGCTCTGACCCATTCTCTCTCCTGCCACCCTGTCAAGAGGTACCTTCTGTCATGTTTGTATGTTTCCCAAAGGCTCCCCAGCCCTGCAGAACTGTGAATCAATTTAACCTCTTTTCTTTATAAATTACCCAGTCTCGGGTATTTGTTCATAGCAATGTGAGAACTGACTAGTACAAGGAGCCACAGTGTTACCTTCATTTCACCCAAAACGAATGCACTCTATATTGTGAAGTCAGGAAAAATTTTAATGCTTCTATGTTGACTGTATTTGGAGAAAACATTTTATTTTATCTTATTTTTTTGTGAGATGGAGATTCACTCTTGTTGCCCAGGCTGGAGTGCAATGGCGTGATCTCAACTCACTGCAACCTCCATCTCCCGGGTTCAAGCGACTCTCCTGCCTCAGCCTCCCAAGTAACTGGGATTACAGTCATGTGCCATCACCCCTAGCTAATTTTTGTATTTTTAGTAGAGATGGGGTTTCACCATGTTACCCAAGCTGATCTCAAATTCCTGACCTCAAGTGATGCGCCTGCCTCGGCCTCCCAAAGTGCTGGGATTACAGGCGTGAGCCACTGCGCCCAGCCAAGAAAACATTTTAACTGGATAACATTTCATCTATGCATTTCAGATGCATAGTTTCTTTTTGTTTCTTAATAGGTTTTCATTTGTATCTTTTCCTTGTAATGATCAATTATTCAATCATTTGAATGTATTTGAATTCGTAGTTTTACTTAAATGAAAATAAAATTAAGATTCCTCACAAATATGAGGGTTTCAGATTTTTTTTTATGGAAAAGAAATATACCCTCTGAACATTCTTGCAATTGTTTTCTGTTACCCAAGCATCATTCACTCAGCCAAAAGCCCATTGACCTTTACCCCCACACCTGAAGGGACCAAGCAGTGTGCTAAAGTAACACAGTCGTGGCTCATAGTTTCAAAACTTTACGATTTTCAATGAATTGCAGTCGAGGAGTTGCCAAATCAAACAAAATGCATCTTTATTCCTATAAATTCAACAAGTTATGTTCCCGGTAAAACTCAGCCAAAAGTTCCACTCCTTCCTAAATCAGGCTGATTTTCAACAAGGATCAAGCCTTTTCAAGAAGCAGTTTACTTTGTCACCTAAATTTCAAATTGATGAACCCAGTTCACGAAAATGAGCAGTTCTGTGTTTTGAACAACAAAAATGTCCCCAAGATACGCCATCAAACTGTGCCTTATTTAATCCATACGAGAAGTAGTTTCTTTTTTATTTTTACTTATTTATTTATTTTTTTTGAGATGGAGTCTTGCCCTGTACCGCAGGCTGGAGTGCAATGATGCAATCTCGGCTCACTGCAATGTCTACCTCCAGGTTCAAGCAATTCTCCTGCCTCAGCCTCCCAAGAAACTGAGATTACAGGTGTGCACAACCACGCCCAGCTAACTTTTGGTAATTTTTTTTTTTTTCAGTAGAGATGGGGTTTCACCATATTGGCCAGGCTGGTCTTGAACTCCTGACCTCAAGTGATCCACCTGCCTCCATCTCCCAAAGTGCTGAGATGATAGGAATGATCCACTGCTCCTAGCCAAGAAATAGTTTATTGAAATTCATGATTGTCTACGAAAGCAGGAATAATATAATTTATCTACCAAAGGAGACACTTGTGAGATGAAAAGGAGGCTTTATCGACAAATATGGCAGGACTGTGGGCATAAACGTATCAACCATCCCTGGCAAACCAGAACATGTAATGCTTCCACCTATGAAGCACAGGCCTGAGAAGCCTTAGAAAATTATATCTTATTTCTTCCCAGATAAAAACGAATGAAATATTTTACAAATTGTAAATATCTTTTTAATTTTTATTTTATGTTACCTTTTTATTTTATTTTATTTTATTTTTTGAGACACAGTCTCGCTCTGTCTCCAGGCTGGAGTGCAGTGGTGCAATCTCGGCTCACTGTAACCTCCACCTCCAGAGTTCAAGGGATTCCCCTGCCTCAGCCTCTCGAGTAGCTGGGACTACAGGCACATACCACCACACCTGGCTAATTTTTTTGTATTTTAGTAGAGATGGGGTTTCACCGTGTTAGCCAGGATAGTCTTGATCTTCTGACCTCGTGATCCACCCACCTCGGCCTCCCAAAGCAGTGGGATTACAGGTGTGAGCCACCGCACCTAGCCTTATTTTATTTTTTGAGATGGGAGGTCTCACTGTGTTGCCCAAGCTTGTCTTTAACCCCAGGCACAAGTGCTCCTCCTGCCTCAGCCTCCTGAATAGGTGTGACTATAGACATGCATCGCTGGGATCCATAAACTGTAAACATCTTTCTTGAAGCTACAAACTGTTTGGGCCACTGTTACGTAAAGCCCATAAGTCTTGTACCCTACCGACAGTTTCACCAACTTCATAACGTGTATAAATAATTACTCTAATGCACATACTTGTAATATTTACTCTAATGTAGAATGCCTTTATAATCTTATATATTTACTCTAATGCAAAAAGACTTAGAGAATAGAACCAAACTCTTTACCTGCAGTAGCTTGAGCATAAAAACAACCTTCTAATGGTAATATAAAAGGCTGAGGCAACCGCAACTATAGTCAGTGCACCTCCACTTAAAACATTTATTGCTGAGTGTGAAAAAAAAATCCCATTGCTAGGATGGGCATGGTTGCTCAAGCCTGTTGTCCTAGCACTTTGGGAGGCCAAGATGGGAGGATTAGTTGAATGCCAGGAGTTTGAGACAAGCTTGCACAACAAAGTGAAACCCCATCTCTACAAAAATAAAAATTAAAAAAAATCAGTCGGGGCAATGTTGACTGCCTGTAGTACCAGCTACTGAGGCGAGAGAATCTCCTGAGCCCAGGAGTTTGATTACACCAATACATTACTGTCTACGCGACAGAGTGAGAGCTTATAAAAAAAAAAATATATATATATATACACGTATATATGTGTTTATATATATATATACGTGTATATATATATACGTGTATATATATATATACGTGTGTGTATATATATATACGTGTGTGTATATATATATATACGTGTGTGTGTATATATATATATATACGTGTGTATATATATATATATATATATACGTGTGTATATATATATATATACATACATACACCATTGCTAGAAAAACAGGAACTGGGTATTGCTCTAGCAAAAGTGACAGGTAAAATCTTCTCTCCTTACCTGGCTAACCTTGGGAATTAAACTGGTGTTGTAAGCTTTAACTCACGACTTGGAAACCTGTCTATAGCCTTGAATATGAAGTACTGATTCTTTATGTAGAAGTAACAGCCCCACATTAAAAAGCAGAGCAGGAAAGGAGGTAAGAAAACAGATGTTGTAAAAGGAAATTAAAGGAAAAAGGAGGAAGAAAAGACAGAAAGGAGTGAAAAAGAAAGAAGAAAAAATGAGAAAGGAAAAAAGGAAAACTGAAACAAGTTTAAAGCTACAATGTGCATATTCTTCCTTACATTTTTATTACTCTGTTCACCTCTTTGGTAATTATGTTAGATGCAATTAGAATCAGAATCCCACAGAACTAAAAGAAAATCATACAGATCTTCTGAAATATCCCAGACCCAAACAAATTTTGACCCGCCTAGTATCACACAGCTAGAAAAGGTGGCAAAGTTAGTTACAAACTCATGTCTCCTAACTCTTTTGCTCCACAATTTACAGAAGAATGCTTCGTATTTACAATATGCTAGTAAGTATATCTTATAAAATGTCAAATTGGAGGTTTTCTGCTAAATTCCAGTTTCACCTTTATAAATGCTTTACTTGTTTTGAGGTTTCCAAGAGTACCTATTTCTGAAATACCTGTTCTGCCTTTTTTTTCTGGCTTTTAAGTTTAATAAATCTTTTCTCTCTCCTACAGAAATAATATAAATTGTGGTACTCAATAAATACTTGATCAAATACATGAATGAATAAAAAAGTAGTGCCTCAGTTCGGGTGCCATGGCTCACGCCTGTAATCCCAGCACTTTGGGAGGCCGATGAGGGCGGATCACCTGAGGTCAGGAGTTCAAGACCAGCCCGGCCAACATGGCGAAATCCTGTCTCTACTTAAATACAAAAATTAGCCGGGGGTGGTGGTGGGTGCCTGTAATCCCAGCTACTCCGGAGGCTAAGGCAGGAGAATCACTTGAACCTGGGAGACGGAGGTTGTACTGAGCCGAGATCCCACCACTGTACTCCAGCCTGAGTGACAGAGCGAGACTCCGTCTCAAAAAAACAAACAAACAACAAAAAACAGTAGTGCCTCTGCAGGTTTTATTAAACCATGGTTTTTCAAATTGTTATTGTGTAGAGAAAACACATCTCAGAAACAATAGGTAAAGCCAAATAAGAGAGGAATTAATCGTGTAGTCTTTGTGATTGGCCTTGTGTCTTCAATAATAAGACATTGAACATAAAAATAGAGCAACCAAATATATATGTAAAAAAATACTAAAATGGAAATTACATCAGAAATAAACAAGGGGCTGGGCCATCACAACTGATCCCCCACTGTGACCAATTATATGCCCATAAACTCGATAATTTAGATGAAATGGACAAATTCTTGGAAAAAATACTTTACCAAAACTCACACATGGAGGAATACATCCTTTGAATAAAGAACTGAAATCAAATAATAGCTTCCCCAAAATGGAAAGCTCAAGGGCCAGTAGTTTCACTGGTGAAATCTATGAAACATTTGATGAAGAAATGATACCAATTCACTACCGGCTCTGCAAAAAATAATTGAAGAGGAGGAAACACTTCTCATAACTAAGTCATTCTATGAGGCCAGCATTACCCTAATACTAAAACCTGGAAAGACTTTACAAAAAAGAGAAAATTACACCAATATCTCTCTAAAAATTCTCAGTAAAATATTAGCAAATTGAATCCAACAATGTATAAAAATGTTGTACACCACAACCAAGTGAAATTTATTTCATATATGTAAGACTGGTTCAACATTGAAAAATAAATTAATGTAATCTATCACATTAACAGGCTAAAGAGGAAAAATTACATGATCATATCAATAAATGCAGAAAAAGCATTTGAAAAAAATTCAACATACTTTCATGATAAAAACTCTCAGCAAAATTAGGAATAAAAGGGAACTTCCCTGACAAAAAAAAAAGTCTACAAAAATACCTAGAGCCAATATCCTACTTTAATGTTCAAAAAAAGAGATAATTTTTCCCAAAACAGTAACAAAACAAAGATGTCTTTTCTTACCACTTCTAGTCAACATTGTACCAAAAGTCATAGCTAATCCAACAAGACAGGAAAAGGAAATTAAAGATATACAGACAGAAAAGAAAGAAATAAGACCCTTGAATTTTCGGATGACTTGATTGTCTATGCAGAAAATTGCAAAACCTGAAAACAAAATTTCCTGGAACTGTTAAGTAATTATAGCAAGGTTGCAGGATACAAAGTTAATATATAAAAGTCCATTTATTTTTTATATTTCAGCACCAAAAAAATGTAATTTGAAATTAAAAACATAACACTATTTATATTATTACACACACATCAAAGAAAATTTAGCTATAAATCTAATGCAATATGTATGAAACAGATATGAGGAAAACCGCAAAATACTGATGAAAGAAATCAAAGAATATCTAAATAAATAGAGAGTTAATCCATGTTCATGAATAGGAAGACTCAATATTAAGAAGTTAGTTTTTCCCAACTTTATCTGTAGATTCAACACAATCTCCATGAAATCACCAGTGGATTATTTTGTAGACATTAACAAATTCAAATGTTTATTTGAAAAGGTAAAAGACTCAGAATAGCCAACACAATACTGAAGGAAAATAAAGTTGAAGGACAGACACTACTTAACTTCAAGACTTACTGTAGGCCAAATGTGGTGGCTCACTACTATAATCCTGGCATTTTGGGAGGCCAAACACGGAGAATCACTTAACCCCAGAAATTCAAGTCCGGCCTGGGCAATGAAGTGAGACCCTGTCTCTACAATAATTAAAAATAAAAAAATTAGTTGGGCATGGTGGCGCACACCTATGGTCCCAACTACACAGGAGGATTGCTTGAGCCCAGGAGATTGAGGCTGCAGTGAACCATGACTGCATTACTGCACTGTAGCCCAGCTGACAGAGTGAGACCATGTCTCAAAAAAAAAAAAATACTCTTTACCCAACTTGTTTACCATTTGTAATAAAAAACAAATGGTGATAGAACAAAACATCCACATGCAAAATTGAATCTAGACATACGACTTATACTTTTCATACATATTAACTCGAATCGTAGACCTAACGTAAAACTCAAGACTATGAGACATCTAAAAAATAATACAGGAAAAGCTCCAGGTGACCTTGAGATTGGGGATAACTTTTGAACACACCAAATGTATAATCCATGAAATTTAAAAAATTGTTGTAATTAAAATTTACAACTTCTGCTTTGTAATAGACACTGGTAAAGGAATGAAAAGAAAAGTCAAAGACTGGGAGAAAACATTTTAAAACTCATGTCTGATAAAAGACTTCAATATATACAACTCAATTCAAAATATTAAAAGTAAACAACAAGAAAACAAACAACCTAACTGAGAAATAGGCAAAAAACATGAAAAGATGTTACCAAAGAAGACACAGATGGCAAATAAGCATAGGATAAAATACTCCATAACAGATGTCACTAGGAAATTGCAAATTAAAACAACATGAGATACCTCTATTAGAATGGCTATAACTGAAAATACTGACACCATCAAATGCTGGTGAAGTGGAACAATAGAAATTCTCATTCACTGCTAGAGGGAATGAAAATTGGTAAAAATCGGCCAGGAGCGGTGGCTCACGCATGTAATCCCAGCACTTTGCGAGGATGAGGCAGGCAGATACTTGAAGTCAGGCATTTGAGACCAGCCTGGAAAACATGGTGGAATCCCATCTCTACTAAAAATATAAAAATTAGCTGGGCATGGTCGTGCACACCTGCAGTCCCAGCTACTCGCTGAAGCAGGAGAATTGCTTGAACCGGGGAGGCGGAGGTTGCAGTGAGCCGAGATTGTGACACTGCACTCCAGCCTGAGCAACAGAGCGAGACTGTCTAAAAAGAAAAAGAATATTGGTAAAATTACTTTGGAAGAGAGTTTGGCAGTTTTCTACAGAGCTAAACTTAGGCCTACCATCTGATCCAGCAATCACACCTCTAGCCTACCATCTGATCCAGCAATCACACTCCTATATATATGCCAAAATTAAATGAAAATTTATGTCCACACAAAAACCTGCACAACAGTATTTATAGCAGCTTTATTCATAATTGCCAAAACTTACAAACAACCAAGGTGTCCTTCAGTAGGTGCATACAAACTGTGGTATATCCATACAATTAAATATTTTTCAGTAATAACAAATTAGCTTCCAAGCCATGGAAGGTCATGGAGGAACCTTCAATGCAGATTTGCTAAGTGTTTCCAACTATATGGCATTCTGGAAAAGGTAAAACTATGTGGAGAATAAAAAGGTAAGTGGGTTGCTAGGGGTTGAGGGGTGGAAGGAGATATAAATAGATAGAAAATATGAGTTTTTAGGGCAGTGAAACTAACCTGTATGATACTGTAATAATGAATAAATGACATTATGCATTTGTCAAAACCCATTGAATGTAGAACACAAAAAAGGAACTATAGTGTAAACTATAGACTTTTGTTTGTAATGATGTATCCATATTGGTTTATGAAATATAACAAGCATACCACGCTAATGCATGATATTAATACTAGGAGAAACTGGGAACATGGAGGGACAGCAGGGTATAGGAGACCTCACTCAACTACTGCACACTTTTTCTATAAATCTAATAATGTTCCAAAATATTCTATTGTAAAAAAATTATAAAATGTTTATATTGGTAAAAGGCACCAATTTGTGTATGGAGATTATTAAAACTTTCATTAAAGTGAACATTATTTATATAGAATCTCTACTTTTTCTCAAGTCTTACATTTCTAATGAATCTTATCATCTAATTTAAACCACTGTTAATAGAGCAACACTTACCAGGAACTCTTTAGTCCAAGACTGTGAGTAGATTCTACTAACACAAAGCAATATAAATCATATTCCTTACACTAAGGAATTTACTATTTTTCTGTGCATATAGGACATAAATGTAATTATTACATAACAATATAATGTAATATAAATAGAACACATATATTAAGTAACAAAACAATGTCATGTATGGTGAGTTTCATAAGGAGAGATCGAAGAGTCCAGAAATAATAGAGAAATGACAGTCACAGCTCAGTGCAGTGGCTCAAGGCTGTAATCCCAGCACTTTGGGAGGCCAAGGCAGATGCATCAGCTGAGGTCAGGAGTTTGCAACCAACCTGGCCAACACGGTGGAACCCCATCTCTACTAAAAATACAAAAATTAGCAAGGCATGATGGCGCATGCCTGTATACCCAGCTACTGGGGAGGCTGAGGCACGACAATCAGTTGAACCTGGGAGGCAGAGGCTGCAGTGAGCAGAGATGGCGCCACTGCATTCCAGCCTAGGCAACCAAGTGAGACCCTGTCTCTAAATAAATAAATAAATAAATAAATAAATAAAAGTAAATGAAGAGCCATAGCAAAACCAGTTTTATAGAAGTAAAATCTCTTGTAAAACAAATGGAAATAAAAAGAGAGAGTTATCAGGGACCAAACAGTGAAACACTAATAAGTCTGGATGTTAATTTTTAGGTAATAAGATTCTAATAAAGGAGTCTAAGCCAAGTCAAACTAGAGGAAGATTCATCTGGTTTGAGTATGAAGATAAGGACACAATCTTCATACTCAACAGAGTTGAAATTAAGGAAGAAGAATCACAAACAGGATCAAAGGTTAAAAGGCATCAAATCTGAAGTTAATATTAGAGACAAACTAAAGAAAGCTTGGTACCATTAAACAGTAAATTCCCAGCATAATGGGAGAGAAAGAAACATGAAGAAAAGGAAAACAGTCCCACACTAAGAAAATATAAAATCTAATTGGGCATGCAAAGCATACAAATACGAAGCAAATAGAAAAAGTGTCAAAGTCACACTAATGAAGTGTTGATTAGTGGAAACTCTTTATGATAGAGCAATCCAGGCAACAGAAATCCCCTTTTAAGTGACCGTACGCTGGATAAGGGATAACAGACAATGACTTGGCATTTTCATGATTCTCCCAAATCTAGACAACCATATTTGATGCCCAAACGAACCTTTCTCACGTTTCTGTAAAACAGACTAAGTGCTCCACTTCTTAATTAGGAAATTCTCAGGGATCAACACTGGATGTGCCCCCAACTTATCAAATGGTTCTGGTTTCAATAACTCTGTTTTTTGAGGTCATCCTCAAAACAATCCCTTGCACAGGATTCCTACCCTCTCCATCTAAGCTACCCAGCAGCTAATCAACTAATACAGTCTCTTATACAGGAGACAATTGAGGGTGGAATTTTGTGCCTAAAGCAATGGATGCAAAGCATTAGATAAAAGCTACAAGGATTTGTAAAGTCATGCACACACTGGCACATCAGACAGAGAGAAACCACACAAGGAAAAAACATTTCTTTCTATGCATGTGTATCTAATATTTTTACACTTTAAAAAAACTAAAGTAATATTATAATCCAGGTATTTCCAAAAGTTTAAAAAATAAAAAGTAAAATTCTCTTTCTTGCCTTGCTGGCACTTCCAGTCATCAGAAATAGCCACGCAAATTTTCCTGTGTGTGTTCTTCCAAAAATGTTTATACACATAAACTATTCTGTAAGTATGTATATATCAATATATTAATTTTTACCACAACTGTGTAACCACGTGTAAAACTTGTTTTTTTCAGCATCTTCCTATTTGAGCACATATAGCTTCCCAATAACAACATATAGAAGTGTACCCATGTTCCATAGAATGACTATGGAACACTCCATATTATGGATGTATCATAAGCTTTTTAACTGTTACCCATTTACATGGTTTCATTTTTGCTTTTACAAATAATACTGAAGAAATAGTCTTGAATTCTGTATACATTTGTCTTAAAACTTCTGAATCACAGGGTATGAACAATTTTTGTTGTTGTTGTTGCTGTTTGTGCTGAGATAGAGCCAAACTGTCATCAAAGGGTTTGTATAACTCTTTCCTTTATGCCTCAACAATATGTAAGTCTATTTCACCAAACTACAGTTAAATGAATGTTGTCATTTTAAAAAATGTTTGCTAACCCAATAAATTGGTTAATTACTACCTTTGCTATGAAATTAAGCATTTTTACAGTTACTGGACACTTGTATTACCTTTATCCAAAAGTCTATTCAAGACCTTACACATTTGTCTATTAATCCTATCTTTTATTTGTTGTAAGTGTTCTTTGCATATTAATAGATCAAATACGTTGCCAGTTTCACTTCTGTATTTTCGACCTTGTCCATGATTATTCCCCCTACAGATGTGTATTAGTCTCACACACATCCCTCACACTGCTGTAAAGAACTACATGAGACTGGGTAATTCATGAAGAAAAGAGGTTTAATTGACTCAAAGTTCCACAGGCTATACAAGAAGCATGGCTAGGGTGCCTCAGGAAACGTACAATCAAGGCAGAAGGTGAGGGGGAAGTAAGCACGTCTTACCATGGTGGAGCAGGAGAGAGAGAGAGAGAGCTAAGGCCGAAGTGATACCCACTTTTAAACACGCAGATCTTGTCAGAAGACCATCATGAGAACAGGAGGTAGAAAGTCTGCCCCATGATTCAATCACATCCCAACAGGCCGTCCTTCAACATGTGAGGATTACCATTCATCATGAGATCTGGGCAGGGACACAGAGCCAAACCATATCAAGATGTTTCTAATAATGGTCAAATTCACCAGTGTTTAATCATCGTTTGTAGGATTATGATGCATGGGAAGGCATAAGCACTCATATATATAGCAAATCTTACCAAAATTGGTTTCTATAATTGAGTGCTGTTATTTTTTTCAAATCCTTTTGAAAGCTCCAGTTTAGTTTGCAGTAGGAGACAAGCATATAGCAACAACAGCTTTTTGCCAAAAGAGCCAATTCTTCCCCTGGCAATTATTGAATATTCCATCTTTTCCCCACTAATTAACCTGTGAAATCTGCTATTTATTTGAACTGATATCTGGACTATCTTGACTAGTTCTGGTTTTACTTCTCTGCTTATACAAATCCCAAATTGATTAAATTATCATGACATTACAATATGCTGTAATATCTAGCATTCCTATTCCTTTTATTACCCTTCTTTTAAAAATATTCTTTGGTTAATTTCATATGTTTATTTTTCCACATGAACATTAGTAGCATCTTTTACTACTAATTAGTAAATGATGTGTTGTACATAGCATTAATAATTACTATTAGCAACTTATTAGTTGTCATTTTTTACACTAATACTTGATATTTTCAAAAGTGTCACATGCATTTATAAGACAAGTTTTGAGAACATTTACATATTAACACTATTGACATTATATACATATTACATATTAACACTTTATTTCTACATATGAACAAATGAGCCTTTTCATTGATTCAAATCTCATTCATATACTTTAATTTTAAATTTTTCTCTTATAAGCTTTCACATTTATGTCCAGATAGGCTAAACATTTATGCCTAGACAGTCTAAATGTATTTGGTATTGTAAATGAAACTTTTCCATCCATTATACTTTACATCCTTTTATTACATACAGACTTCTAATTTTTATGATTTACCTTTTATAACCTGTCACTTTATTGAAATGTCTTACTAGTTTCATTTGTAGATCTATTTCTTGGACTTTACATGTTTAGTGGATCACATATAAATAATCCAATAGTTTCTATTAATTCTTAGTTTGTAATACTTATTTTTTTTCTTATCTGATTATGAATTTAAAAATACGTGGCAATTTTAAATGTGGTGGTGATAGTACTCATCATTCTTGTTTCCCACTTTACTGGGAAATCTGTTTCACAACTAATCATGACTTTGTTTTGGAGTCTGTATCACAGGAAGGAAATGTTTCTCAACTTCTGTTATAGTCACCTTTTAAAAAATTCAGGATTTGGTGTTGAATTTTTTTATTAATTATACATATATTTAAAAAGTGTTTTTCTCCATTTACATATTAATATGGTAGACTGTATTGATGGATTACTACTGCTGATCTAAATCTGCATTCCTTACATGAGCCCCTCTTCATTATATAATCAGGGTATATTATTTGTTAATGCACCATTCTTTTCTAATTAATATTTGTATTACTTTATAGGGATTCATAATTGAGATTAGTTTGTCATTTTATGTCAAGTTTTAAAAGTTTTGTTATCATGCTCTGCTGATTTTGTAACAATATTTTAGAACTCTTTTGTTCTCAAAGTAGCACGCAGTTTGAATAGCATTAAAGTTGTGCTGTGGTTTAGATATGGTCTGTATTCACCAAAACTTATGTTGCAATATAATCCCCAATGTGATAATATTGGGAAGTAGGGCCTAGTAGGAACTTTTTGGGTCATGGGAGGAGATCCCTCATGCATAGATTAATAACCTCCTTCAGGGTGAGAGGATTCTTCCTTCAATCATTTACCCATGAAAGCTGCCTGTTAAAAATAACCTGGCTCTCTTGCTTCCTCTCTGACCAAAAGGTCTCCTTGTCTCCGTACATACCCAGTCCCCTTCTACTTTTTACCATGACTAGAATCAGCATGAGGCCCTCACCAGAAGCCAAGCAATTGCCAGCACCATGTTTCTTGAACTTCCCAGCCTGCAGGACTGTGAACTACATAAACCTTTTTTTTGTTTGTTTATTTTTGTTTTAAGTTACCCAGCCTCAGGTATTCAGTTACAGCAACACAAAACGGATTAAGACAAGTTCTCCATACCTCAATGTTTGTAGAGAGTTCACTTCTGAAATCATTGGCCTAGCACTCTTTGGAGATTTGGTGTTTGAAAATATTACCCATTTCTTCCATTGCCATAGATCTCTTCTGAGATCAATTTTGGAGATTTGTATTTTCTTAGAAGTCACCCATTTCGTTCAGGTTTCATATTTATTTGAATAGGCTTGAACAAATCATTATAAGTTTGTAAGTTCTTTAATTCACCCTACAGTTGTAGTTATTCTGCTGATCTCATTTCGAATTTATACAGTCTTATTTTCCAATGGGATTTACTAATAGTTTTTGTTTTCTCCTTACCCCTCCCCTCAAGGAAATAGGTTTGGATTTATTTATGAATTCTACTACTTTCTGTTTAATAATTCACTATTATTTTTATCTTGATTAATTTATTCCTTCTGTTTTCCATGCGTTAATTTTGCTGCTCTTTTAATAACTTAATTTAAAATTTTAATCAATTTCATTAAATTCTCTTGAAATTAGTAATATGGGTTTTAAACATATGGTTCTCAGTTATTTTTTTTAGGACAGTACACTCAGAAAGTGATTAAATTTTTATCAAACGCAGAGGTAGGTCTGAGGTTGCTCACTACCCTATGCCCTGCTTCTCGCTGAATGTCCTGAGGGCTAAAGGGAATAAATATCTTTACACACCTGTAATCCATTTGTTGCATAGGAATTGGAAAGCTCTGTTAATGAAATCAAGTGGATTTTGAATGCTATGCTGCATATATTTATATATTCAGTAAACAACCATTGAACAACTGTGCTAAGAGCTCAGAACACAAAATGGGTAAGAAAGGGTTTTCAATACATTTGATTCATAAAATAAGAGTTTTTAGAAAGTACATAGGATTGATCAGGAGGTTTAAATTCTAGCCCCAGAGCTACGCATATGGTGTGTGTGACCCATCTCTAAACCTGATTCCACAGTGTTCACTCTATATCGAAGATATTTGAAAATTAAAAGAATGAATAGAAATCATTATTAATATGTATTGTAAGAGGCTCTGCTACTAACATGAATACGTCTATGCTGTGTGGTGTGTGCTCGCTAAATAAATACTTAATGGAATATATTTATTACTTTGCTAGAACAAAAAATAGGCCAACTGGCTGTATTAGTTGTTACGCAGTGACAGATACAGGTTATCCTCAGTTTCAGTGAAAGAATCATAAATGATTACATTGTGAAAACGACTGCAAAAATAGAATGAAATTGGGTTTCAATTTTCTCCATTTCTACATTTTGAGGTTTGATGGTCTTACAGTAATTTTTAACAAGAACCTGGTTAAAATTATTCATAATTGGAAAGGATTCGAAAAACAAATATGCAAAAAATAAAACACACACACACACTCATAATAGAGACCTAAAACAAATATTTGGTAAAATCTTGATTTTTCTTGATGATGATGGAGATCATTCTGCAGAAACCACAGCAAAGAAGACAATGCCTTCTCCTTTCCCAGCTTACAGATCCCAGGAGCCCAATGTTTTTAGAATTTCTTTTTATTTTCTGCTAATGAATCATGACATATAATTCATAAGCAACTTACAAATCAACTAAAATTCATGTTTCTAGATGTCACTCGAGCTGAGTTTTAAAATTTGAGAAGGAATGTTGGCCAATTGAGTACTTATTTCAAGTATAGCTGAGCATACAGGAAAAAATGTTTATACGAGAAATGATCACAGAATCATAAGACACAGAAAGGATCACAGAATGTTGAGAGTATAGTTATTTATTTGCAATGAGTCACAGAAGATTTAATTGCAAATTTGAATAACATTACAGGATGTCTGTATCTTAAGCAGTTCTACTAGATAATCAAATAAGAAATACTGAAAGCAAATCTAAGTTGGTTAAACTTGATTCAGGAAAACAGAAATTATGGGCAAACTCCAAGCATTTCTCACCCATCATATATTTAAATACTCACAGAGTTCTGGGTAGTTAAATGAGTTAATATATGTGAGACACTAAGGCTACATAGTTTTGTGAACATGTTAGCCATTATTATTATTGTTGCTGTTAAAATTACAGGTGACATTGCAGAAATAGATATGGTTACTCTCATAACAGCATTATCATTTATATGCTAAAAAAGCAATAAGGCAATCTCTTTATGGGCAATTTTCTTTTATAAAATAATAGGAATATACATATATACAAATATACATTAAACTTTTAATGTTACAGTCACTAAATCAAATAATTTTAAAAATAAAGGATTGCATGTGGCATTCTTTCTTCTCTTGAGGCCACAGGGACATTTTCATTAGTTAATTATTCAGAGACATTTTATCATTTTTAAAAATCTATCGTGAGCTTAGAAATCTAGAGTGAATTCATAAAGCCAATGGCACGTTAGTGAGAATATTAAATGGGGTTAAATTATGGCTTTGAATTACAGGAATGGATTCCTGTTATTTCTGTCTTTAGGGAGGGAGGTAGGAAGCAGGCCAGTCAGATGATCCTTGAGTTACCTCAGAACTCCACCATTGCATCAAAAAGACTCTTACAGTGTCAGTATTATCTGAAGATGATTAAAGAGATACATTCGGCTCTAGAGACTTTAGGAGAAATTGTAAGCTCATAAAATTATGTTCACAATGATCATCTGGTCGTTCCTATAAGATCCATGGATAGGCTGACCCAGCTGAATGCTGCATGAGATTCATTACTTAAATTACATGGTTTCTAGCAAGATAGCCAGAGAGCCTTCAGTTACTTTTCATCACATAATTATTGTCCTCCAGCCCACAGGGCAAAGGGATTAAGTTTCACCAAAGTGAAATCAAAGCAAAGCAGGTGTGCATATCACAATTCACATGATGCTCAAGTTTGCTGCCTCCTTCCTTCCTAGGGCAGAGTGGGCAGAGCAGTATGGCACTAGCCAGCACCTTCATACGAAAGTTTTTAAAGAGGCCAGGCGTGGTGGCTCACTCCTGTAATCCCAGCACTTTGGGAAGCCAAGGCGGGCGGATCACCTGAGGTCAGGAGTTCGAGACCAGCCTGACCAACATGGAGAAACCCTGTCTCTACTAAAAATACAAAATTAGCTGGGCATAGTGGCATGCACCTGTAATCCCAGCTACTTAAGAGGCTGAGGCAGGAGAATCACTTGAACCTGGAAGGCACAGGTTGCAGTGAGCTGAGGTCGCGCCATTGCACTCCAGTCTGGGCAAAAAAAAGTGAAACTCCATCTCAAAAAGAAAAAAGAAAAAGTTTTGCAAGAATTTTTAAAATAGCATAACCAACAATGAGTCCTGCTGAGGCAGGAGAATATGGTCTGGAGGCAGAGAACCTAAGGCCAATTCACGCTTATTTCATAAAGCTGGATCAGAAGGCAAACACCAGGGAAGCGGGGGCAGGGAACCCAAGGGGAATTCACACTATTTTCATAAACATGACTCAAAAGGAAAACACCTGGTTCTGGTGGCAGGTAACCCAAGGCCAATTCGCGCTGATTTCCTAGGGCTGGCTCAATAGAAAAACCCCCATTTCCACGGCTGGGTAACAAAGGATCAGAGGCAACTCTCCCTACAACCCTCTCCCGCTTCCACTATATCTCAGATGAAGAGGGAAAGTGCCTCGGATTGGCGATGGGCCAAGCGTGGACCATCCCTTCATTTGCATAGGGCACCCATCCACTCAGGCCTCTGATTGGCCAAGGACCAATTCACTTGAGCCTCAAGCCACGGGCCAAATCCTTCACACATTTAGGGGGTAGCCAATAGGAATCTCAAAAGGAGTACTTACACCTCAGAAAACTTTGTAAATGGGACCTTGAGCCACTCACTCAGGGCCGCTCCCACCCTGTGGAATGTCTCCTCACTGAAATAAATCCCTACATTTCGGCCGGGTGTGGTGGTTCACGCCTGTAATCGCAGCACTTTGGGAGGCCGAGGTGGGCGGATCACGAGGTCAAGAGATGGAGACCATCCTGGCCAACATGGTGAAACCCTGTCTCCACTAAAAATACAAAAATTAGCTGGGTGTGGTGGCGCGTGTCTGTAATCCCAGCTACTTGGGAGGCTGAGGCAGAAGAACTGCTTGAACCAGGGAGTCAGAGGTAGCAGTGAGCCGAGATTACACCACCGCACTCCAGCCTGGCAACAGAGCGAGACTCCGTCTCCCAAAAAAAAAAAAAAATCCCTCCTTTCAGTGTTTCATTTCTTTATTTCATTCCTTCGTTACTTGGTGCGTTTTGTTCAATTCTTTGTAAAACACGCCAAGAACCTGGACATACCACACTCAAGGCCTGCCTTCTGGTAACACTATGAGCACTATCTCACTGTTGCTCTCTTTTTCTCTCTTTTGTGAGATTAGGTTTGAGCATTTCAGCCTCCAACTAAAATGTTCACATCTATTTTGCAATATTAGTTATATAAGAAGGCCTTGACTCTTTCACCGCGAGAACATAGTTGAAACCTAACATAAATGAGCAAATTCCTAAGAAGAAAATAATATACCACCAGCACTACCCTGATATCTTCTCAACTTTAATTTCCCTTCATGATTTGTTGCTATTTAAATTTGTTTTATCTTCAAGTCATTAATGTGCAAACAATAGTATTGAGTTTTGGACCTTCTGCTAGTAGCTTGCTTTATTCTTTGAGAGGAGTTATCCATTCTCCTGCTTCAGATATTGCTTCTAGAACAATAACCTCTGAAGAATAGCTTTGATCTTATGCTTTAGTTTGCAGTGGTTTAAAAACATCTCTTCCTATTGAGACATAGAGACAACATCTCCTTATGAATCTGAACTCTAGGAATGCTTGACAAAAATAAGTGGAAAAGTAATGTGTCCGTTTCTGGGCCCAGGCCTTAATACATAGGCAGTTTCACTTCTCATCACTTGTGATGCTTGTTATTGAAACACAGCCACCATGCCGTGAGGAAGTCCAAGTAGCTCACTGGAGAAGAAATAAGGTTCCCAGCCCACATCCTCAAGTGAGCTCTCAGCTAACCGCTAGCACCAACTTACCAGCCACTGGAGAGAGTCACCTTGATAGTGAATCCTCCAAGCCAGCTATCCCAGTTGATGCTGTGTGGAGCAGGAATGAGCTGTCTCTGGCAAGTTCTGTCCTACTTACAGATTCATGATCAAATAAACAATTGTTGCTGTTTGAAGTCATGCGTTGTGTGGGTAGTTTATTAAGTAGTAAAGAAAAATGAAAAAAAGCAGGGCACAGTACACTTTCAGAAGCCAAGGCAGGTGGATCGCTTGGGCCCAGGAGTTTGAGACCAGCCTGGGCAACATGGTGAAAACCTGTCTCCACAAAAAATACAAAAATTAGCCAGATGTGGTTGTGAGCGCCTGTAGTTCCAACTACTCAGGAGACTGAGGTGGGAGCAGCGCTTGAGTCCAGGAGGTCGAGGATGCAGTGAGCCATAATCACGCCACTGCACTCTAGCCTGGGCAAGAGAGCGAGACCTGGCTCAAAAAAAAAAAAAAACAAAAAGAAAACCAAGAATGCTCAAGAGCAATATAGTTCATAATTCTAAAGATAAATTAAATGAGTTCTATGTGAAAGCCCTAATTTTACTTCATCTCAAAATCCTTATTGAAGTTCTCTATTCATCTATAAATCCCATTGCATCTTCTCTCAGACGAACCAGATTTTCTCTTACAAGTCCTCAATTCAGCTAACAATTGATATCAACTGCTCTGCCTTCACAATGGGCTCTAAATGTCATTTGTTTTCTCTTTCCCTGCTTCCTCTCAATAACTAACTCATCAGTAACCAAATGCAATACTCTCCTTTTCAAAACATCTGACTTCGGTGCCTGCCTTCCCATTACTCTTAAAATCATCCAGAGCATGTCTCTTCGGCATGAACTACCATCGTGAGGTATAAGGGGGGCCTCCTATATTCCTGCTTTCAGTCCCCCTTCCTCATACAGTCTGCCTAAAAGTCATCTTCCAAAGTCATTGCATGAAATTATGCAAAGGCTCCCACCAGCTCGTTGATTCATGTCCAAACTTGACCCTCTACAATCCTCCTACAATCTTTTTGCTGCAGTCTCTCCCAGATTTTCTCAGTAAAAGCAAAGTCTGTAATCACAGATTTGTGAGCCATTCCTTCTTCCTTATAAGTTCCCCCATAGGCCCCATCTTTTTGTTCCATCATAGAAAGCACACTGCTCCATCTGCCAAATGGGCTTTTTCCCCACGCATTTCTCTAGGCTGTGCCTCCTCAGTCATTTTTTGACAGAAAACAAGATGCTCCTCATTTTAAAGGAGGTATCTTGGTATCTTTCCCTCCTTTTGTCTCCTGCCAGATTAGAGAAACAGATCTCATGTTTCCTGATAAATTTGACATTTAATTTGCTTAATTCTATTTAATGTAACCCTCATCTAATCTGTCATTCTAACTTGCATCCGAATATATTATTTCTCTCTCTAGGTAATCAAGTTTCTGATCAAAATAAATATCCCTGCACTAATCATTTTGTAGGTAAAAGTGGAGAGAACCCTGTCCTGGATGCCTTGTATATTTGAGTTCCTGTCTTTTTTTCTTACCAGCTGCATAACCTCAAATCATTTTCCTTCCACAATCTCTAGTTTGCTGTGTTGTAAAGTAAAATTGTTGTATTAGATGGTCTCAGCTTTGTTTTCCCAGCCTGTGATTAGTAATATCAGAATTGAAATTATTACTCAAATTAAAATGTATAAGGCATTCTCTCTTTACAAATGTATTTTGATTTATAAAATGGTTCAAAAAGAAAGTATGATAGTAAGCCATCTCAAGCCTTGAATCACTATTTGATTAACAAAAATTGTTTTGTGATTTTTATTTTTATTTTGCAGAAATCTATCTATAGAGAGCTGTGCTTATTGTTAGAAGTACAAACTAATCGGAACTGGCTCTTGAAGGCAGAATAGTTACTGAACCCATACAAATATTCAGATCTGAGCTAAAAGTTTATACACAGGGTAGCGCTCCTGACTCTCAATCCTGGAATCGAGATACAAGCGTTTTCTTTTTGTTTTTTTTTTTTTCAGTTTCTCAACTATCTAAATTCTCCTGTATGCAAATACTAAACAGAGTTGCCCAGACAAAAATGTCAGAGTGAACTCGAACACTTCAGTTCTGATTCTAAATCCAGAGAGTGTCATTCTCAATAAACCTCTGAAAAGAGAAAATTTTTCATTCAAAATCATTGTTAAAGACAAGCATATGGGCCTAAGTAAGGATGTGCAAGCAAGCTTACAAAATAATAGTACATTAGTTATGATAAAACTGGCCATATTGAAAAACTAATACACTCTCAAATCTAAGAGTGTGGCAAGCTTAGCACCTTGAAACAGAAAAAAATAAAAATATAAGAGTTTATTTCTGGCACACAGAAAGACATGTCAGTAGAGTCTTGACTCCATGCAGTGATTCAGAGACCCAGGCACCCTTCCTCTATCTTGTGGTGTGCTGCCTTCTTTACACATGCCTTCCGAGCTATCAAAGGCAGGGCAGTTGGAAACATAGAAGAGGCACGTTTGTTTCTAAATGTCTTGGCAGCAAGTGACACATAAATGACTTCTGGCACATGTAATTTGCTAGAAGTAGTAATGAAACCCCACCTAACTACAAAGGAAGTGGAATCTTCCTATGAGGACATGACTGTTGGAAAACTGGATGTACATAAGCAATAGTAATCTCTACTGGAAATGGAAACACGGTTTGCCTCCTGAGAGTCCAGAAACTCAAGACAAACAAATTGATTTAGGATATCTTTATAAATTGTTAATATGTTACAGATTACATATTAGCTACAAATAACTTGAATTGAAAACATATGTAAAGGCTTTCCTCAAGACAAATATGGGCTGTATCATCGGGGTTCTTAGAGAGATACATGCAACGGTTATCACTAGGTGACAAGGAATGTTAGTATGCAGAGAAAATAATTCTTAATATGTTCTGGATTCAGATGTTCCATTGTGCAAATGTCTCTTTAGGTCATTGCTATTGAATACTTTTTTGGAAGAAATGTAAGCTATTTTAAAACACATGTACAATGTGTAAGAAGGTTTATTCAACAATAAACAACTTTTTCTGCTGTAAAGCAGTCATATTCCCAAAGGGGAAAAATATTGAAAATAATAAAGTAATAAAATGAGTGCAGAAAACAGTACCAGTTAAACTACAAGCTGAAGCCTCTATAATAGTTCAGCAAACTTTAATAGGCCACATAGAAAGTATTTTAGGTTTCACAAGCCATATGGTCTTTATTGCAACTGCTCAAACTTAGCCCTTATAGATTAAAAACAGCCATAAACAATATATAAGCAAATGAATAGCTTCATTCCAATCAAAAACTTATTCACAAAAACTGGTGTGGTCAGATTTGGTCTGCAGCCATTAGTTTGCCTATCTCTGCTCCACAATCCTGAAATGGTGCTACATCCCATACAACTCTTCATTTTTAAATGTAAGCTCTGTATTTAAAAAAAATAGGAATGTAAAACAATCAGAACCAGAATATATACATTTTTTGTCTTTTAGCAGTATTTGGCTATATTAACTCTGACAATTAGTTGACATCAAATGGGTTATTATGAACTTTCTGCCTTAAATCTTACGGTATGAAATAGTCCAATGAAACCTACAGATAAGATAATACTTTACTATTCTAAATTCAAACATAGATGTATTCCATACTCAATATATCCCAATGAGAAGTGAGTGAAAAGTTTAGCATATGGGATAAAAATGCCTTAGATCAATTTTAAACGATAGATTTTGTCAAAGGTCTTTTAGCTGGGTGACAAGTCTTACTTTATTAAACCTCATCCAATTATTGCTTCTCAGTGATACTGGCAGGACAGAAGGCTGACAGAAAGGGCAAAGGGTATATCCACAGGAAGTGAAATATGTATAATAAAGCACATAGGAAAAGTGAAAGATAATGGAAAAGTACTAAGCTTTACACCAAAGACAGTGAAAACAACTTGCTTACTATGCCACAAAATGTTTTTGCCTGGTACTTTATCATTTCTCTCTTTCCTAACATGTCAGCAAGTCATTGTGTGGTAGTTTCAAAACTGCAAGTAACTTGGTAATACACAAGTGCTGTCATGCAGTAATGTTCCAACTCGGTGTTCTAGAAATGGTTCAACTACAATCACAGATACGTATTTTAGGGATATAAACTGTATAACTTTTATTCAAGATTGATAGTTCTAAGATAGACATTTATGAATTTTTATGCCATCAATCTATTCTGAATAATAACAGTTACATCTTTGCTAAAGTGCTGTTTCTTCATATTATAACACTGTAACAATTTATTTCAATTATTTCACTTATAAGTATAAATGTACTGGCAGGGCGCAGTGGCTCATGCCTGTAATCCCAGCATTTTGGGAGGCCAAGGCAGGCGGATAACGAGGTCAGGAGATCGAGACCACGGTGAAACCCCGTCTCTACTAAAAATACAAAAAATTAGCTGGGCGCGGTAGCAGGCGCCTGTAGTCCCAGCTACTCAGGGAGCTGAGGCAGGAGAATGGCGTGAACCTGGGAGGGGGAGCTCGCGGTGAGCCGAGATCACACCACTGCACTCCAGCCTGGGCGACAGAGCGAGACTCCATCTCAAAAAAAAAAAAAGTATAAATGTATTATTTGCTCTAATGTGCTGGGCATTGATTACTTCTTAAAGCAAATATTATCTCCAACAAAATGCTATTAATTTACAAATCCATTGTGGCATGATGGGGAAGTTGAGAATACAGAGGGAGAAGAGATTTCAAGCCTTATGTCTGATCCTTATTAGCTGTGTGATATTGAGCAGGTCATAACTTCTGAGCTCCTATTTTACCTGTAAAATATAGGAAAGAATTTGCTCTACCTCCTCTCATGGTGGTTGTGAGGATCTTGGAAGATATTTGTAAGCAACTTATATGCTACCAAATGCTACACAAAATTTAAATTATTATTATTTTCCATATTCCCCTATGGATAAATAAAAGCCATTTACTAAGTTGATAATTTAACCACTCAGAAAATAAATAACTATTTCATCACATTCATAATTGTTAACTTGTAACTGGCAGGCTAAGTAGATCTAGGGCCAAAAATCTCCACGTATTCAAACAAATGCAAAAACTCAATATACATTTACCCACTTATGCCTTAGGTATTAATTGCTGTCTTAAACATACCAGACATGTACTTTCTCCTGAGAGAAACATCTGTTTACACCTAGTGTGCATATAGCTAAAACAGAATGAGTAAATCTCTGCTGAATTATCATGAAAGATAAGAATGTCCTTGTGATTGCAGTTCGTCTTCTTGCTTCAGTAGATTTTCATGTAGCACTTTGATATTTAGTTGCGGTAAAAAAGAAGTCCTCAAATCTTACTACATTGTTAAGTTTTATAAATCACATATCAGGCTTTATTTACACAATTCAACAACTAAATCAGAAAAGCATTTTAAGATTTAATATTCAATAAAAATCATTATTCTTTCTTGGAGATTTCCTATATTTCTGAGCAGGGCAAAGATTTGAGGAAATGTCTTTAAGAGAATAATTGTATTTTGAAAAATCCTAAAAAGTCTTGGAACTTCCAGCTAGTCCTTGGCTAACTGGACGGTCTAAGTTCTCTGGGTGTGACTCCCAGACAGTAAAAGAAGGGGGAGGCTTGAAAATGCAGTGGGGACACTAGGATCCCCAGAACTGCCTACTAAGCTTCTGGTTGGAAGGTCTAAGGTTGATCACTCCACCTTCCAGTCATTTCTTTTCTCCATCCTTCTAAGGAATGGGTTTATGTAAACCTGTCTGTGGATGTGTGCGTGGAAGAAAAACGTCAAATATAAGCCATTTGAATGGGTAGTTCAAAGGGTCTCTTTTCAATAATGAAGTTAATAGGTCAATCAAAAATAAGGTTGAGACCCTCTGATCAGGAGTAGCTTAGACTATAATGAGAATTAAATCTCCATCCTGTCCAATTTGTGGTATATTAGGAAAAAAAAATAGAAAAGGCACCCTAGGAACTTAGGCTTTCAAAATTATGACAGGTTATTTTCCCCATTTGATAGCCCTGCAGATCAGCTCCATAGTTATAAATATATGCCTTTAAGTAATACGATACCTGCTGCTATGGTATTGGCTTTTTAAAGGAGTATAGACACGTTCCAGATGAAATCATGCACATTATAGAGACAGAATCTCTCAGATCTTACTCTCGACATAGGTTTTCTAAATTACAAAATAGACATTTTTCTCCCAATTCACTGCTATTTGAGTAGAAGGCACGCTTTTGGGAAATTACACTATGCAATAAATTACAATTTGATACTTTTTTCAGAGGTAGATTTTCTGATTTATGCTTTACTTCTTATCCTTTTAAGGGTGTAATGAGCCATTTGTTAGACTCTAAAGAAAATATAACACAATTGACAGAAATAGCAATGAACATCAAAAATATTTTTATGATATCAAACAGCTTAAAATACCAAATAAATCCTCTGAAAATCCTCTTAGCGGGGTGCAGTGGCTCACTCCTGTAATCCCAGCACCTTGGGAGGCCGAGGTGGGTGGATCACTTGAGCTCAGCAATTTGAGGCCATCCTAGACAATATGGTGAAACCTGTCTCTACAGAAAATACAAAAATTAGCTGAGCATGGTGGTCCAGGCCTGTGGTCCCAGCTACTCAGGAAGCTGAAGTGGGAGGATCACTTGAGACCCGGAGGCACACAAGTTGCAATGAGCCATGGTCATGCCACTGCACTCAGCCTAGGCAACAGAGAAAGACCCTGTCTCAAAAAGAAAAGAAAAAAAAAAACCCTCCTAATTTTCTATTATAACATGTCTATGAATCATAAAATCGGGTCAGAGTGTTTTAAAGTTAGAGGACAGCTCAATTCCCACCCCAACTAGCTCTGTATTTAGTAATATGATTCCTTTTGTATTTCTGTCAGATAACTTGCTTTCTATCATTATCATTAGCAGAACTTTACTGCTTGTTTTAATTCCTTCACTCTCCCATCACTACCACGCTCTTATATTCTCTCCATCTGGCCCTAACACTTCTCAATTCCACTTTTATATTTTTCTTTTTTGAGACAGTCTCGCTCTGTTGACCAGGCTGGAGTGCAGTAGTGCGATCATAACGCATTGTGGCCTCGAACTCCTGAGCTCAAGCCATCCTCTTGCTTCAGCCTCCTGAGTAGCTAGAACTATAGGTGCATTCCACCAAGCTCGGTTTTTTGGTGTTGCTTTTGTTTTTTATTGTTTGTAGAGATAGAGTCTTGCTATGTTTTCCAGGAGTCTTGCTATGTTTTCCAGGCTAGTCTGAAACTCCTGTGCCTCAAGTGACCCTCCCACCTCGGCCTTCCGAAGTGTTGGGTTACAGGCATGAGCCACTGCATCCTGACCCAATTTTTATATTTTTCTAACAATGTTTCACTGATCCTGCCAATGAACGAATGATAAATAAGATTTTGATTTAAAAACTCCTACAGTTTTGCTTGGGATTGTTATATTTCAAAAAGCTATGTTTAAGCCTATTTAAAATTGTAAGAAAATTTCATGTAATCATAATTGATCTTTATTTCATAAAACTATTCAGACATTTTCTATCAAAATCCTATACAGGTAGTATTTTCCCCCAACACTTAGAAATATAGCTCAGCTTGGGGCTACATTTTCGTCACTATTTCAACTAGATTTATTGGTTAATTTAAGTAGTTTAATACATACCATTATCAAAGATGTTTCTTTTAAAGTGGCATTAACTTTCAGACTAAAAAAAGAAAAGCTTATCTTTTATTTTCAATTTACCAGACGTTACAGTCCCTACAGTGATAATGTTAGCAATCTGGTATTAAGGTGTAGAAATTGTGTTTTGTGATGTAATAGATATGGACTTTTATAAAGGTTCCATTATGCCCCCTGAGAAAATGAATTGACATGCTCAGCCCATCGCCCCTGCTTTTGGTCTACTTCACAAAGCTATTATCTCTTTTATTTCTACTAGATAATCACAAAATTTTCAAAGGACCATTTTGTTGATTTTCCCAAATCTCTCAAACTTTTACAACATTAAATCACTGTCCTATTTGCATATGAATACCTTGTAACAGTATTTCTTTTTAAAGGTACTGTGGTGGTAGCTATCAGCCCCGGGAATTAATCCAAAAACAGCCTCTGAAGATGGCCTTCTTTGGTATCTAATCAAAAGCATCAACGCCATGACAGCAGCCCTGCTGGGAATCCTGTCAGATTTCATTTATCTGAACACATTGGATAAGTGAGCCAACAGATAAATGCTTTGAAATAACCACTTCTTCATTTTTTCTTTGCGTTGCCACAATGATTTTGTAATGAAAATATAAACCAGTTAATTAGTATTCGCACTCAATGTATGATGCAATTCCATCTTACCCTTCTTTGGTTATGGTGAGCCATCTTTTCAAAGGCTAATTTGAAGTTATATTTTGTAGTTTTAAAAAACCAGCATTGTCCAGAAAAATTCACCCTCATCACAATTACCAATACTATCTGCTATTCCTCCAAGCTCTTTCCAATTTCTTCTAATAAGCTACAACAAATGACATTTCTTTTAGGCCCAGCTAGTATATTGGTTCTAGGTACACGATTCTTAAAATATTCTGGAAAGCTTCTCAATGGAACATCAAAGGCTACAAAATGTGTCATATAGCAGATGACCTTCCAAGTACCAAGAAGACTCATTGAGCATCCACTGAACACACATGAGGCAACAGTGCTAGGCAAAAAACCCACCCATAAGATGCTTACAGTAGTCTAGTTGTTGAAGTAAGACATAAGTGCATGAAAGAGCTAATGAATGATTCTATGCATATATAACAATATGGGAATTTAAGAAACAGAAAAGAAATGCATAAAGAGTTAGAGAAGATCTCATGCTGGAGTAATCAAGAAATACTTCACTACAGACACTCTCAAGTGAGGCTTTGGGTCCTGAACCACAGGAGGCTGGCAGGACAAATGAGTGGAAATTGTATCAACCAAGAAGACATCATAAAGTTCAAAAAGCATGGTTTTGAAAACAGTGCCAATATGAAGGCAGAAGACAGCAGTATGTTCTGGAAAAATATAAACAAAAACAAAACTCATGACCAAACATGGGCTTTCTTTTCGGCAGTTACCAAAAAAAAAAAAAAAAATAGATATGCAGACATTTTGGAGAGCCTTTCAAACCAGATAGTATGGAAGCGAAAGGTATATTGATGTGTAGGGATACAACATAAATGTAATACAAAAATTTCAGAAATTCTATATAAAAATAGACAATGACTAAATTACTAATTTATTTGGCACCGTATTCTCATCTTTTAAATTTGGAGGTTTGATAAAATAATTCCAGACACCCCCCCACCCCTCCAACTCTATCATATCATGGACATACTCAACCCCAAACCCTGCAATATTCAAAGATAATCTGCAATGGGTATGAAGAAAAAAATCTATTTTTTTCCAAGTAGTGAAGTCAAGAAAGGCTTAATGGGAATTGTGGTATGTTGAACAGGATCATAAAGCATGACAGGAATTTAGCCAAGCAAAATGGGAAACAAGGGTATTCAAGACTTAGAAACAGTGCAATTTTGATAAGATTGCTTTTCATTTTCCCTTTATTCTAGAAAATTATCTTCTATCATACATAGTAGAAGGTGAATTCAAATATCTTATTTCCTGTGAGCTGAAATGTTTTGCTTTTTGTAGGTCATCTTTCCAGGTACAAAAATTTTTACATGGGAAAGGATAAGCACAAATGATTGACGGTTGAAGATTTATATATTTTAATAGCCCAATGTCTAGACCAAGAAGACAGCGAATAAAAAGAATGGGAAATCACGTTAACTGAATGCCCAGCATGAGCCCCTCTCCATGTTAGATGCCTTATTGATGTTATCTAATTTAACAATGAAGGCCAACTGTAAATGCTTTCCAAATTTTCCTGTTGACTTTTTATACTACTAAAAAAATCAAACTCTCATAAATAAACTTAGTTATGAATATCAGTAACAGTTCCTGTTGGTTCAATTTCACCTTTTGACATATCATGAGATTCAGGAGGTCTGGAAAAACTAAGCTTTCAGTCCACTGAAAACCAAAATGCACAAATGTGACATACTGCTCTTAATGTTACACCATAGAAAAGATTCTTCTTATTATTATTTGGAAACACTGAGCTTTCAATGTGAGTCATATTAAGTCAAGGTCTATAGGTATAGTGTAAGTAAACTGACCTAAAAATGTTACCAACAAAACTTACTTGCAGATATTTGTCACCCAATGGCACTCTGGTACTGCTCTGTAACTAGAAAATCCCATTTTGTGAAGCTTTAATGCTCTTCTGCTGTTATAAAGGGCTCACCGTCATGACACTGATATCATTTTTCACACTACCTTCTCATTTTAAGATATTTTCTAGCTTTATGTAGCATCCTAAGTTTTTTCCAGGAGCATGCTTCAAAATAAAACAACCAGTGCTACCATTCTTCAGTTCTTTTTCCTTGATAAATAGAAAGGCTGATGTATTTTATAAAGATTTATGCCTTTTATTTTCGCTTTTCATATTCAGGCCTTCTTTCCCCAACTATATTATCAATTTCTTTCTTTCATATCTCTTGCATTGTATCTTATATGCAACACTTTGTTGGAAAACACAGTGCTCAGTAATTTTTTGGTTTAATCATAGACTAGAATCCTAGACTATTAGACCAGAGGAGATATAGAATTTACATAGTTCAGACACATTCATTTTACAGTTGAGGAAATGGAGATAGGTTCAGGGAAGTTATTACGATTTGATCAAGCCTTTTCAGTTAGTTGATAGCAAGAACCTGGGTGTCTTAATAATCTCATGCTTTTCACATTTTTTATCCCATCAATTTAGTCAATATTTACTAAGTACCTTCTAAGTGATAAGTATGACACCAGGACAAAGGGTGAACAAGGCACCTACCCTTATACTTTCTCCCTAATGTGTGGAAATCAGGAATAAATAGGAAACATAATGCGATAAGCATAACATTACCGTAAGTACACTGAAACAACATCAATCGCAGACTGAGGGTCAGACAAGGCTTTCCGGAAGAAAACGTATTTCAGGTAAGAATGGAAGAAGGAAGCAATGTTAACAAAGTGAACGCTGGAGTGCTGAAGGTAGTCTACAAAAGAGGGAAGGGTGGGTTGGGCAAGAGGAAGAAAGAGGGAACATTGGACAGGTAGGCGGGGCAGATTGCAAATGGCCTGGCAGCCTTGCTAGTAAAATTACAATTTATGCTTGGTAATCCATTATCAGATTTAAGTATGGAAAAATCTTCATTAAATTTGTATTTTAGAATGACAACTCCGGCTGTGATGTGGCGAATGAATGAGGTAGAGAGGGCTTGTACCTTTAAGAGCAGAAGACCAGTTAGAAGACTACTGTAGTCATCCATGAAGTGGACAGTGACAGCTTTGATTTCAATTTGAAAAGCAGTGAGCCTGCTCCAATATTTTAAAAGTAAGTCTTCTTTCTATATTACAAGGATGGAGAGAAAAAAAGAATGTGTTTATCTTTGAGGAGTAAATTAACCTTGGCAAGGAAGAATTTCATATTGTGGGAATTGAGGCCACAAGCCTTAATTATTAAAATGGATCATTGCAACCTGATGATGGGGCAAAACTCTGTTCCAATTCTGAAGACCAGCAGTCCTAATCAAGATAGATCATGTTTGCAAGGCCAGGGCAGCTATTCCAGCCATGAACAGTCATGGCTTAATTCTAAATAGAAGAGGATTTTAAAATAAGCCTTCTTGATACTCAAAATACTGGAATAGTCTATTTATTTGAAGTTTCCTCTTCAATTGTAAAAGCAATTGCCAAAATATCATCCAAGCTCCTGATTCTCCTGCCAATTCTTATGAGTTTTATGGTTGTGCAGTTGTTCCCATGCCAACCTAATTTTTTAAAATTATTATGAGGTCTAAATACTGGCAAGAAATGCCAAAGGGGGAACATAAGATCAAACAACGTGATTGCATTTTTGTGCAAATTCATCCAATACCTAGGCAAAATAATACAATTAAGATCTTTAAAAAATCAGGGAGGAAGGATATGTATTTACATGAAAGATCCAAAAATCTTGCTTCTAAAAGAAATCTGTACAAAATTTTATTTCATATGATAATACATTATGGCTATGAATTATGAAAAAAAACAATATGGGTATAAAAGTAGAGGAAATGCTTAAAGGTTATATATAGTAACCTTTTATGCACATTATGAAAAATAATTACAATGCTACACTAAGATGAAGCTGCACAGATTTATATTCATTTTATGGATACTGACCCTTGTTTTACCATCTTCTTTGGCAAGCACTTTTTTTGTAATCCCCTAATTACTTCTTTAAAAACTCCTATCAGTAAAACAAAGGAGATGATCGAATTACAAAATAAAAATAACATTTTACTTTAGACTGAACAAGGAAAAACTCAAAATAATTGCTATATTTTTTGTTACAAGATTCTCAAAGCATTGATTTCTCTCTGCCTTTCTACACTCATCTACCCTTATGTATGTGGGACTATGTCCTCTCTGACCTGGACGCTGCAGTTCCAGACAGATATAGCAACTTCAGGCCACTTTTCTACAAAAAGTGGTGAATTCCTCCTGGGAAAGTATTAATTACCATCAAAGGCCTAAATTAAAAATACCCTTCTTTGTGCAAACTTCTCTGATCCTTCCAAAGAGAAATATTCTCTTCTTTATGCTTCTAATTATCTTACTTACTAACTTACTAGCTTTCGATTTGCAGGCTCACATGTAAATGCAAAATACCCTATTTTAATTTGCTATATTTTTTCATATACCCCAATATACTCTGGAATATATCTCAATGATTAGATAGAATAGTTATGTAAAAATAATACTGATATATGTACTTTATAAACTCATGTTTTATAATAAATGACTGTTCATTACCATGAAGTACTATGTCTACAGTATGTATACCATAATCTGATACTTAAAAAGTATGCAATGATTACCTTTAACTTCCATAAACTTTTACAAGTTTGTTTCATTTGATTAAGCTTCAGCACATGGTAAAGAAAATTTCAGGGTCGGGTGCAGTGGCTCACGCCTGTAATCCCAGCAGTTTGGGAAGCCAAGGCAAGTGGATCACCTGAGGTCAGGAGTTTGAGACCAGCCTGACCAATATGGTGAAACCCCGTCTCCACTAAAAATACAAAAATTAGCCGGGCGTGCTAGTGCGCACCTGTACTCCCAGCTACTCGGGAGGCCAAGGCAGGAAAATTGCTTGAACCCTGGAGGCGGAGGCTGCAGTGAGCCAAGATCGTGTCATCGCATTCCAGCCTGGGCAACAGAGGGAGACGCCATCTCAAAAAAGCAAAACAAACAAACAAACAAAAAATGATTGACTGAAGTAGATGAATTAAAATCATGCTAGTAGTATCACAATGATTAATGCTGTATTTTTTAAATTTACATTTTTAATAACTACAAGTAGAAAATTTATACTATTTATATCTACAGAGATATGATTATATTTAGGAATAGTGTCCAAATGCATGGATTTATACTAAACTCTACCCGTTATTCCATAGAAAAAGATTTTTTAAAATAAGCTTCGGATTCATTAATTAATTTAGTGACCACACATTGATAATCTATCAGCAGGGCATTGTGAAAGCAAAAACACGGGGAATACAAACTGGAATAAGAATGGATCCCTCCCCTCAAATAGTTCTTGTGTGTTGGAGTAGACAGGAACAGGAACAGATAAATTCATCATGGAAGAACTGATGTGAAACGGAGGTAAATACAAGGTCTAGCAAGGTTGCAATGGTGACAATGGCCAACTTTACCTGGGAAAGTCGGAGAAAATGCCCAGTGTTGGGTAGAAATTCACCAGGACAATGAGTTGAGGCACAACAGGAAGAGTGAACAGTGTGTACAGAGGCACCGAGACTTAAAAAGTGTGGCTCATTTGAGCAACTGCCTGTGGCTAAGGATGACTGAAGCATTGGGCACATGGGGGAGAAAAGTGGGAGATAATAGCCAATTTGACAGAGGTCAGACCTCTACTCTAGGGAAGCTCTTTGGACTGCATCTTGTGGGAAGGACATGGAGACTGAGACCAGGGGGAAGAGAGGCCAGAGAGTAGACTGTGCTCATGGTCTAAAGAGACAGCCCTTCATTAAGCATCTCTTTGACGTCCATGCACGTGTCTAGACACATTCTAAGTATTGCATTCTGTAGTTTTAGAAATTGGCTGGAATGCATAAGGATTTAAAAGGATGACACTTCACTTTAAGATTTAGGTTTTAAATTGCCAAATATATATTGAATGCTGATCATGTATGAGACACCATTTTTAAGAACTATAGGGTAGTCAAAGAGGTACAGGCTACAACTATTATCCCCTAAGACATCTAACCCTGATGTAAAAAGTAGAAACATCTATAGGCACACACACACACACACACACACAAACAAACACACACACACACACACACACACACATATACATACATGGCATACCAGGATAGGCGTTATACTATAATTACAACTAAGTGATATGAGACAGCATTCAGCAGAGCAATCTTGTGAAATACCATTCCGTGTCCTGTATAAATATTTCAAATTTAAATAACGTAACTCAGGACTTACTAGACCAGATATAGAGAGCAGTTCTGGGGTATTGCAACATTTAAATTCATCTTTGGGAACTGTTACAGGAGGTTGGGAAAATAATATGTTTTCTTCACACACATAAAATTTTTACAAATATTCTTGTGAATTAACAAAACAAAACAAGATTTTTCTTGTTTTGAAAAAGAGGACAGCCTTTATATTTATATATTATCAGCACTTCTTGGATATTTTTTCAATTTTAAAGTAACTTAAGGAAAGTAAATGGTAAACCATCTGCAATTCATTTATAAAAGTCTCCCTCTTGCATATAGATTATACTCCATATGTGGAATAAAAATAATTCAATATTCAACATTAATGTTATCAACACAAAATAAATAGAAAAGAAATTCCAAAGGAGAGAAACCTAAAAGAACCTAATTTTTACATTTCCAGTTTTGACATGTAATTTTTCAAGCCTTACAATCCTTTAATACAGCTATTTATATTCTATTTCCTTCCTAAATTTAACTATGCTTTCCCCATATGAGACTCAGGATGCTGACCTATAAAACAAAAAGAAATTCCAAAGAATATAGTACGGAAATAATAGAGGTTCATGATGTACTATGCTATTATTCAGGCTGAAAATAAATTGGTTTTCTTTAAGAAGAGACCCTTTTTTAAAGATACCATGTGCCAACATCTGTCCTCTTTTTTTTCACATCCCCTCATTCCACAAGAGCTGGACCACATTGGCGATCCAGAGTCTAGGATCAATTTCATCCACTGGTGGGAAGAAGAGTTATTTTCAGTGCTCTCCCACATATCTCCAATGTGTTAATTCAGCTCCCGGTGATGTCTTGGTTACTCTAAATGGAAATGCTGGGTTCCCAAAACCAAGACTCACCTTATAAGCTTTGAGATTTGGGGCCCATTTATTCTCAGCATTTTACCTCTGAGGAATGAAGTCTTGTCTCTGAACTCCAGCCCATGCCTCAGCTCCCACTGCTGGGGATAAATATTCCTTATGCAGACGTTTTGCAGGCCTGCCTGCCTGGCTGAGCTCAGCACGCCATCTGTTCTGGGACTCCCCTTCACTAAGCTCTGATTGTCCCTCCAGACTCTCCATTTAGTCCTTGGTGCTCTGACACCAACTGCTATTCTGCACTCTCTCACTGCTGGTGACAAGGTTGAATCTCAGAAGCGCCCTGTGATCCTGGAATACAGTATAAGTTAATAAATCCTCCCATAGTTTGTGTTCTGTGAAATGGCTTACTGCAAAGAAACACATGTCCCCACAAAACTTAGATAAGAAACAGATGCACTCCTTTACCTATGACAAGGCCACAACACAGATCCTTCAAATTTCCATTCTTGGCCTCAGAAATGACAAATTGATCAATCAGAACAAAATGCAAAATTCTCTCCTTCCCCTTAGACTGCTGAACTTTACACACAACCTCTGGAGAATAAGCTGATTTCAGAATAAAACATTCTCTTCTCTGCTGTCTGATCATACCACCATTCCTCACCCACCTCCCCAAACTTGGTGAATTCCAGCCATGTTTACCTCTCCCTGTAAAAGAAAATCTGTCTTTTGCTCAACTTTTGAGACCTACCAGATCTCATAGTGGAAGCTATCTCCCTATTATCTTCCTCCACCTATAATCATCCCTTTCACCACTCTTGTAATAATCCTTTCAAATAAAGTATCTTCTTCTTTCAGTCCAAATTTCCTTTTTATTTGACACTGGTCAGTGAGCTTTCTGTCTGCATAACTGAAGTGGCTGACTTTTTCGTATTGCCGGGAGTAGTTTTTGTCTCGCACTACCCCTAATCGCGTCTATTAATGTCCACACTTTCTTTTGCAACCACACCCAGATACCACTCCCTACACCCTTCCAATCTTTCTTTCAAAGCTTGCCACAGTTAACACTTAGAGTCTATGCACCACAAGTTATTATTATATTAGCCTTCCTATCCTCAAACTCATTCAATTCATAACATTTTTAGTCAAAGATCTAGAAAGTAACATCCAAACTGTTTAACTAAAATTCTTCCAAGATGCCTCCATCTTATTGCCATCAAATGTCCTCTCATCTCACACATCCACAATGGAAAGCTTTTAAGAAATTTGTCAGAAACTCACAAGCAAGGAAAGAAATAGCACTGGAAAATGTTTCTTATTACTTGAGAAAAGTGCTTGATAACCAGCCATGCATGGGAACAGCATCATTGAAATAGAGGCGTGTAAGTGCACTCAAGCCACAAGGTCCCGTTCGGGTAAAGTCAGAGAAGCATTTGCAAAAAAAAAAAAAAAAAATCACAGTTCTTCCTTCAATTTCCTGGTAAAAACACACAGATTAAATGGAACTCTCTTTGCAGGAAGTTGCCATGCTTCAAATGACATAGAAAATTAGCTAGGAAGCAGTGAGCACCCTTCTGCTCCACGTCCTCTGTGTCCTCAGACAGTCACCACCACCGACAGCCTTGTTTTATGAAGTCGGATAAATATACTCCCACATATGCATATATACATATACATATGTATATATTTAGTAATCTCAGTATTTTAAAAATGACATTGGTGATGCATCCTGTATGACTAAGTAGGCCAAAAAATATGAGTTGTTCTTTTCTCTCTTCTAATCAGAATGAGGCATCCTATTTTGGTCGATTTTGGTGTTATCTGTAATGATATTTGAGGCCCTTCTCTATCGGGAGGTTTTGGCATTTCTTAAAGGAATGTGTTGGCTCACTCACTACACTCTGTTCTTGCTGCTCCTAAAGGCTCCTGGCGAGCTGCAAAAACTGAGCTGTGCAGCAAGGCTGTGGTGTGATGGCTAAGTGGCCGTGCAATGTTTCATTACCATAAGGATGCCAATATAGGGGGAAGCCACTTGACGGGAAGTAATCTGCAGGCTCAGCACTTGGTGCAATGGCCCACATATCTACCCAGTGTGCTGAAATTCCAGCAAGGGAAATGAATGCACTAAAAAGAAATGCAAATGAGAAAAATTAATAAACACACGATTACCAAAAGAATTTTGTAGCAAATACATACAGGAAATGTTCTATATCCACAGTAAATAAATATTACAGGAAGCTAAACTGCACTAAGCTAAACAGTTTTTAGAAATGCTCCTCATCCCAGCAGGCTGGCATTCCGTGTTTAAAACGGATGTGTCACTTCAGTTAAATTATCACTCGTTTATTTACTTCAGTCTCTTTCAATGTCTGTTACTTTAAGAATAAATGATATAATGAGGCTGTGTCAATTCTGATGAAAGTATTTTCCACCATCATCAAATATTGTAAATAATTGTAAGCATTACAAGCAGTGATTCCATGCCAAAATTATGCATACTACCTAAGATTATATGCCTATGTTTTCTGAATATTCATCACCTGGGTATACAGAAGGGATATGAATGACAAAATCACTACAAAATCTATAAAGTTGAAGATAATGTTTTTTCACAATATTCTTAACACATCCCCATCCATTTTATATTATTTATTGAGCATTTACTATGTGTTGACCATTGTGCTAGATACGGGGCTTACAAAAATGAATGAACTCAGCAGCCTGTAGTTTCAAATGAAGTTACTAGGATTTTTTTCAAAATGCTATCTATAAGCAAGCTGAGGAAGCATCAAGATTTACTTCCAAATATTTGAAAAATGATTACCAAGTAGAGTGACACATTAAGTTATTAACTAATGACTTAAATAAGGTGCTTCAGTGATATCGTTTGTCTGTGTCCCCACCCAAATGTCATCTTGAATTGTAGCTGCCAGGATTCTCATGTGCTGTGGGAAGGGCCCAGTGGGAGATAACTGAACCATCAGGATGGTTTCTCCCATACTGTTCTCATGGTAGTAAGTCTCATGAGATCTGATGGTCTTATAAGGGGTTTCCCCTTTCACTTGGCTCTCATTCTCTCTTGCCTGCCGCCATGTGAGACATGCCTTTCACTTTCTACGATGATTGTGAAGCCCTGCCAGCCACGTGGAACTGTGAGTCCATTAAACCTCTTTTCCTTTATAAATTACCCAGTCTTGGATATGTCTTTATCAGCAGTGTGAAAATGGACTAATACACTAAGGAAGTTCCAAATATATCTTATGCGTACAATCAAATGATATTTTATTTTTATGTCCAAATAAAGTGAAATCATAAATATTCTGGGTCTTTTTTATATTTTAGCCAAAGACATCCCGATTTCTGTGAGTCAGCTAAGTATGTTAGCGCGGCATCTTCTCAAGGAAAAGTTTTTTCCTGCAGAACAGTTATTGAGTCCCCTAATAGCAACCAGCTCTGTTCATCATTTATGCCACCAAAGGCCAAACTCCTCCTTATCCCATGAAAACTAGCCATGAGGCTGGCACAGGGAATGGCTAAAAAAACATCTTGAGAAGAATAAATATAGTTTTGGTGGAGGTGAAATGTGTTTCTCAGCCTGAAAGGTCTGCAAGCTCTTCATCTTTCCTATTTCATGATAAGACATCAACAAATACCCTTTTATGAAATGAATGTTTGCATGATAATTACTAAGCAACTCTTATTTGTAACAGAGCTAAGCAATTTAACACCTTCCAGCCATTTTCTAGAACAAATGTATAATCATAATTCTTTCAATGCATTGGTGGAAGTACATAAAAGCCCCTGGAAATTGTTCATTTTGCTTACTTAAAGCCATTAGCTCAGTTAATTACAAGTCATTGTCTTGCTATTATTTTTTTCATACAGTTTCTTTCCACATTGCCATTTATTTAGCAAGAACCACACACAATGGAGTTAAAGAGATTTAAAAGTGATTGGAAAAGAGCACACTAGAAGTCCCACATTCCTCAGACCCGCAGCATCATAATCTTTTACTTGCCTGTAGACACTGTGTATGTAATGCCGGTTTGCCTGAGTCCACTGTCTTCACAGCACAAGAAGATGTTTATCATCAGACTATGGAGTCTAACACCTCAATCTCCCCTTATACCAAATTTTCCTGTTCTTACAGCCGCCATCACATGCCTCATGGAGATACAATAGGCAAGGCATGAATGAATAGATGCATGCATGAAAACCAGTGGAAGGTTTACATGAGAGGGAAGACATATGAAATCAGATTTTTAAATTATCATTTTAATCCACTTATGCTAATTTTGGGAGTACTGTGGGTTTCTTGACTAATAATTTAACCAGAAAGACTTTGTAACAGTGACTTTCTCCATAGACTCTAAAAAATTTAACGAGTTGTGAGAGCAATTGGTAAATATTGAGGAATTTTGAAAGCCAGTTGCTACATTTTTGGTAGCTTGAGATTAGTCATTATTGGCATGTGTTTACACCATGGCAGTCAGCAAATGCTTCCTCTCTCTCTTTCTCATTTGAGAGCCTGTTCACCACCATACCATTGCTAAGACCTTCATAAAGTTCTAGCAAAAATAAAAGAAGTGGCCAGGCACAGGAACCCATGCCTGTAATCTCACCACTTTGGAAATCCAAGGTGGGTGGACTGCATGAGCCCAAGAGTTCAAGATCAGCCTGGCAACATGATGAAACCCCATATCTACAAAGAACACAAATAAAATTAGCCAGGCATGGTGGCGTGGGCCTGTAGTCCCAGCTACTTGAGAGGCTGAGGTAGGAGGATGGCTTCAGCCCAAGAGGTGGAGGTTGCAGTGAGTCAAGATCATACCACTGCACTCCAGCCTCAGAGACAGAGTGATACCCTGTCTCAAAATATATAAATAAATAAATAAATAAATAAGACAAGTATTCTCAATTTACCTAATTTCCCAAGTAACAAGATCATGATGTGCCTTTTACATTTTCTGTCCATATTCTTTTGGTATGTGTTTTTGATAAACTCTTCTTCTTAGAGTTATAAATGTAACACAAGTATTAGCCACTTTGTAAGTCAGTACTTGTTTTCATAAGTCCAAAAACTGCCCTCAAACATCAGTGAAGCTAGCAAGCAAGCAATATCCTCCCTATCTCTACAGGTCATGATTTCATAGCCCTCAGTGAAAATCTTTCTCAGCCTACGTCTTTTCTGGCTGAAAAAGTCGATTTTAGACTCTCGTTATCTTCCCTGCTCTTCCTCACAGTTCTTTTTACTCACTCTTCTCTGGGACTCTTTCAGTCAGTCTTTTCTTAAATACTGTAGTCAGATTCATTTGCAGTATCTCACTTGTAGGAGAAAACAAAATCTGCCACATAACCACAGTAAACTGATGTCTTTTACTCTCTTATGTTTACTTATGAATAATGCCCATGTAATTTAACAAAAATGACAACAGTAAGACAGAACCAAAGTCTTCACAACAAACGAAGATAATAAGAGTAGACCATATCAGAAGAGATTAGTAGTTGAAGTTTATATTAGCTCTGAGCAGAAAATGAGCCTAATGAGATTCTTAATTTCAGATTTGTGAAAAAAACAAGTGTTAAAACCACTTAACAATGATCCTTTGCTAATTTTTGAGGGAAGTCTATTTTTCTTAGTAAGCCTGGTATTAGGCATCTATTTCAATGTTCTGTTTTTAATATTATCAATGAAAGAAAAATTATTCTGAGAAATTAATATTAACTCTATTAATATTAACGATTTATCAGCTTAAGTATGTGCTGATTAAGACACTTAATAAAATACTTGATTAAGGCAGATGACTGAGGCCACTTAATTCTGTATTTTGCCTTTATAAGGCTATTTAATAAATATTTAAGCATCCTTTAAAAATCAAGCTTTATCTTTACACTACCTTTCCCTTTACAGTAAAAACAAACAAACAAAAATCATTATCATACCAGCTGGAAAAGGTTAACTTTCATAGGTAGTATCATCTCATAAACATAACTTTGGTATTTAAATGTAAATATACAATAGGAGCATTAGGTCTTTTTTTTTTTTGTTTCTTTACTTCCAATAATTTGATTTTAAACCTTAAAGCCTAAACTAAATTACATGGTCAAAAAATTACCAGAGAATCTAATTTAAGCTATATGCCCAAGGGTACATTCACTGAGCAATTACAACCTCCAAGCAAAAGGTATTCCCTAACTGAACAATGAGCGGTATACTCATATTGAAAAATAGCGCATTTTTTTTCCTTTTATATAATAAAATCCTTTCAATTTTAGGATATCACTTTAAGCGCAGAAATAACTGATCACAAACTTTGAAGAACTCTCAATGTAGCATGTACTCCTTGCATAATTGTGCAAGATTTAAGCATACACAGCTGATTCTATGCAAGACGAGTCACCAAAAAGCCCAATTCAGAGTTTCTCAAGTTATTTCCTATGACACACTTGTGTTTGACAAAATACTACAGAGAATATTCCAGAAAGGATGCAGTAATGATCAAATGAGTTTGGAAAACTGTGTAACAGAAAGAAAAATATCTCAGAACTTTTAATATATGAGTATGCTTTTTTTTGATCATTACGGAATCATTATGCATTACTTCTGAAACACGTTTGAATGTTAAACAGTTTGCTTTCAACATCTTAGTTTTTGAAAGACAATAGTTTTTCAAGCAATGTTGTTTCAAAATGTGGTTACTCTAAGCGTTAGCTACCAATTTGCTAGACTTTTGCTCTTCAGTTGCTACATTTGAGTGATTTGAGTTCATTTAGGCATCTTCATATCTGAAATGCTGTCCTAAATATGGTTCCCTACAGCTTTCAGGCTGAGAAAAATTATATGCAACTTTATTTCTTGAGTTTTGACCCTTTCTAAATTATAGATAAATTATGGTTCTGAGCATTCAGTTCACCATTTATTTTTCTGTGCTATTAAGTAGATCAATGTATTCCCCTAAAGGCAAATACTCTATTTCTAACAACACTTTCTACCTAAAATATTGCTGAAAACTTTTGGGTAAATGAACGAGTCAGAAAAAGCAGAGTTGCTGAAATTGGCTCATTTTCACTGATTTTGTATTTTAATCTGGCTTTTCATTTGAAAAGAGAGCTACAGAATGATGTTAAATGAAAAATGACATTCCATAATTCTTCCATTCACATTTTCCTAGCACATGAAGAAAACAAAGTCACCTTGTCAAAAAGACTCGGCATCTCATTAAAATGTGTAGAAATCTCTACATGCTGTTTTCTACATATTTACCAACTCTAATAGATGGAGCTGCATTTTGAGCAAGAACGTTTTTCTGTCTTTACAGAGTAAGCAGTGGACTTCTACAAATTCTGGAGGCTCTTAGAAATTGTGGCTCTGTATTTTGATTAAGGTAAGTAAGCAAGTCAAACAGTGTTTAGACTGTGTGTAGTACTGATGCCGGGCAGGCAAGCCCCAGAACTGGGGCTTGGCCTGGGATGGTTCTTGGCCTATCCCAGGAAATAATTCGAGGGTGAGCTGGTGGGGTTAGACAGCAACTTTTATTGAAGTGGTACTGACCAGCAGCAGCAGAGGGATTGCTCCTTGAGGAGCAGGGCTACCCCATCCATAAGCAGTATGCCCAAAGTAGCAGCTCAGGGGCAGTTGCACAGGCATATTTATACCTACTTTTAATTATATGCAAATTAAGGAGATTATGCAGAACTTTCTTTTAAAAAACGGTGGTAACTTTCAGGTTATCGGGTCATTGCCATGGAAAGGGGCAACAGCTTCTAGGTGTTGACAGGGCAATGGTAAACTGACATAGGACACTGGTGGGCATGGCTTATGGAAAGCTCCTTCTGTCCCATCCCTGTTTTAGCTGGTCCTCAATTTGGTCCAGGGTCCAAGACCCACCTCTGGAGTCAAGCCCCACCTCCTGAGTAGAGTCCTGCCTCCTACCTCAGTACCCTGCTCAGGATCATTTTGTATGCACCATGATTATTTAAACTTTCTGTGCCTCAACTGGCCCCTTGTAACAGGCAATGAGTTTATTGGATGGTTCATGCTTTAAGCCATGAGATGGCATTCTAGTGATAGGAGAGCTTCAGGTGCCCTGATCTGAATAGCAGGTGTCACTCCAGCATACTTGATAAGAGGCATGAGCTTACAGATGACTTATTTGAGTTGACGAAGTAGGAGAGACTGTGGGGAGGTGGGTAATTGTCAGGGAAGGGCATTGATATTGTTTGGCTGAGTCCCCACCCAAATCTCATCTGAATTGTAGATCCCATAATCCTCAGGTGTCATGGGAGGAACCAGCTGGAGGTAACTGAATCATGGGGGTGGTTTCTCCTATGCTATTTGCCTTATAATGAGAGTCTCATAAGATCTGATGCTTTTATTAGTGTCTGGTATTTTCCCTGCTTGCTCTCATTCTCCATTTTGCCACCCTGTGAAGAGGTGCCTTTAACCATGATTGTAAGTTTCCTGAGGCCTCCCCAGCCAGGCAGAACTGTGAGTCAATTACACCTCTTTTCTTTATAAATTACCCAGTCTCAGGTATTCTTTCAGAGCACTGTTAGAACGCAATAATCCAGTAAATTGGTACTGGTAGAGTGAGGTGCTCATATAAGGGTACTGGAAAATGTGCAAGCAGCTTTGGAACTGGGTACTAAAGGCAGAGGATGGAACAGTTTGGAGGGCTCAGAACAAGACAGGAAAATGTGGGAAAGTTTGGAACTTCTTAGAGACTTGAAGGGCTTAGAAGACAGGAAGATGTGGGAAAGTTTGTAACTTCCTAGAGATTTGTTGAATGGCTTTGACCAAAATACCGATAATGATATGTACAATAAAGTCCAGGCTGAGATGGTCTTAGAGGGAGATAAGGAACTTGTTAGGAAGTAGAGCAAAGGTGACTCTTACTATGTTTTAGCAAAGAGACTGGTGGCATTATGCCCCTGCCCTAGATATCTATAAACTTTGAACTTGAGAGAGATGATTTAGCGTATCTGGTGGAAGAAATTTCCAAGTGGAAAAGATTTAAGAGGAAGCAGAGCATAAACATTTGGAAAATTTGCAGCCTGACAATGCAATAAAAAAGAAAACCCCATTTTCTGGGGAGAAATTCAAGCCTGCTACAGAAATTTCTATAAGTAACAAGGAGCAGAATGTTAAGCACCAAGACAATGGAGTAAATGTCTCCAAGGCATGTCGGGGACCTTCCTGGCAGCCCCTCCCATCACAGGCCCTAAGGTTGAAAAGGAAAAAATGGTTTCCTGGGCTGGGCCCAGGGCCTCCCTGCTGTGTGCAGCCTAGGGACTTCATACCCTGTGTCCCAGATGCTCCAGACTTGGCTAAAAGGGGACAAGGTACAGCTCAGTCCATGACTTCAGAGGGTGCAATCCCCAAGCCTTGGCACCTTTCATGTGGTGTTGAGCCTGCAGCTACACAGAAGTCAAGAAGTGAGGTTTGGAAACCTCTGCTTAGATTTCAGAGGACATATAGACATGTATGAATGTCCAGGCAGAAGTTTGCTGCAGAGATGGATCCCTCATGGAGAACCTCTGCTAGGACAGCATGGAAGGGAAATGTGGGGTTGGAGCCCCCACACAGAGTCCCCACTGGGGCACTGCCTAATGGAGCTGTGAGAAGAGGGCCACCGTCCTCCAGACCCCAGAATGGTAGATCCACTGACAGCTTGCACTGTGTGCCTGGAAATGCCACAGACGCTCAAAGCCAGCCCATGAAAGCAGTCCCGGAGGGGGACTGTACCCTACAAAGCCACAGGGGCAGAGCTACCCAAGGCCATGGGAGTTCACCTCTTGCATCAGCATGACTTGGCTGTGAGACACGGAATCAAAGGAGATCATTTTGGAACTTTAAGGTTTAACGAATGCCTTACTGGATTTTGGACTTGCACGCAGCCTGTAGCCCCTTGTTTTGGCTAATTTCTACCATTTGGAACAGGTGTGTTTACCCAATGCCTGTACTTCCATTGTATCTAAGAAGTAACTAACTTGTTTTTTATTTTACAGGCTCATAAGCAAAAGGGACTTGTCTTGTCTCAGATAAGACTTTGGAGTTGGGCTTTTGAGTTAATGCAGGGATGAGTTGAGACTTTAGGGGACTGTTGGGAGGGCATGATTGTGATTTGAATTGTGACGACATGAGATTTTAAAGGGGCCAAGGGCAGAATAATATGGTTGGGCGGCACCCCCACTCAAATCTCATCTTGAATTGTAGCTCCCATAATCCCCACGGGTCATGGGAGGGACCAGTTGGAAGTAACTGAAGCATGAGGGTGGTTTCCTCCATGCCGTTCTCATGATAAAGAGTGTTTCACAAGATCTGGTGGTTTTATAAGTGTCTGGCATTTCCCTTGATTGCACTCATTCTCTCTCCTGCCACCCTGTGAAGAGGTGCCTGCCACCATGATTGTAAGTTTCCTGAAGCCGCCTCAGCCATGCTGAACTGTGAGTCAATTAAACCTCTTTTCTTTATAAATTACCCAGTCTCAGGTATTTCTTCACAGCAGTGTGAGAAGATAGTAATATAGACAGCTAAGATAAAAATGTTTAAACCATGTGGCTCAGGACGGAGAACCAAAAGGAAGACTTGCTGAACTGGAAACATAAAGGATGGAGTTCAAAAGGGAAAAGCAAAATGTAAATCATATGATAAAGAAATGCCAACGAGAAAAATCAAATAATTTTGTATCAGCTCTACAGATCCATCTATTTTTAAATAGATGGACACTTAATGCTGGATTTAAGCATGCCCTAAGTTAAGTACTTTGGTCTTTATATACATTTCCCTAAAATTTTATTTTCCTCCCTGACAATGGGGCAAATGAATATAAACAGGCCAGAACATGAATGCCTTTGCTGAGGGCTTGGCTGTTCTCCAGTTCCTGCTGCTAAATATTATCAGAGAATAAGCATCAAAACCAAATTTCCCTAATACAATTCTTTAAACATAGTTCATATCCTCAGTGCTTCCAAAATTCTCTATTCTTTAGAGCTTCCTTTCTTAGAGCTTATAAACAACATGTATCAGTCATGGGAGAGGACGGGGTATGTCTAAAGAACTATTTTGAATCTATGTTTATACATCAAGCACACTTTTTTCCTAGACTTTAAGTTGGGACTTAATAAACATAGTAAAGTGTCCTAAAGATGTTACTATTCATACTTTTCAGAAGGTCAATTACCTATATTAAAAGTATCACTATTACTGCTATTGCAATTGCATTTTTTGGAAATAAATATTATTGTGTATATTTAAGGTGACATGGCACTATAAGAAACCTATAGAGAGTAAAATGGTTACCACAGTGAAGCAAAATAGCATATCTACCATTTCACACTTCTTTTTGTGTGACAAAACCAGCTAAAGTCTACTTATTTAACCAAAATTCCAAATACCATAAAATATTTTAACTATAGTCCTCATGTTGTACATTAGATCTCTAGACCTGTACATCCTACATATCTACTACTTCAGGTCCTCAGACCTACACCTCTCCATTTCTCACTCTCTCCCCTGCAATTACTGTTTTATTGTTATCTATTTTTAATTATTAGTGATAGTCTAGAAATAATGACACGGTAGTCACTGAAGTTCCCCCATGGCATGTGACATCTAAACAGCCACTGTCAAAGTCACTATTACTTTATACCTGATTCTATACTAGAGTACCTTATATTACAAAGAAACTGTACCTCTCCTCTATGCATTAAAGTTGGTGGGGGTTGGGGGGACGGACACTGGTTATAAAGCCTTTTTTTTTTATTTTGAGACAGGGTCTCACACTGTTGCCCAGGCTGGAGTGCACTGATGCAATCTTGGCTCTCTGCAACCATCACTCCCAGGCTCAAGCAACATTCCTCCTATCTTAGCCTCCTGAGTAGCTGGGTGCACACAGGTGTGCACCACCATGGTTGGCTAATTTTTTACTTTTTTGTAGACAAAGGGCCTCTCTTTATTGCCCAGGCCAGTCTCGGACTCCTGGCCTCAAGTGATCCTCCCACATTGGCCTCCCAAAGTGCTGGAATAACAGGTATGAGCCACCGTGCCCAGTCATTATAGAGCTTATTTAGAGCTCATAACTAATATAAATAGTGTAATCACTTAGAAACCACTCACCCTTCTTGGGCTTGAATTCTATGCTATCTTTGGTTAAATTTCTTTTCAGAGAGTCAATATCCTCATTTATAGAAAGATCACTTATTTTTCACCCTCTTGAGGATGGAGATAATACAGATTAAGTACTTGGCCCATATTGGTAATTCAACAAATATCAGCTGCCAACTAATAGTAATAATAATAATACCAACAAAAACCAAAAATGACCCATATTATTTACTTTTAATACCTCCTTTTTCTTCTACAATAATTTTATATTTACTTTTTTGTGTAAGTAATCACATACTGTATTTCCCCTGTCTATAATATTTGTCTCTATAGGCGATTCAGAGAGCTTTCTTTTTAGTTCAGATTATACTTTATCTATTATCCATCAAGACAGCTCAGTTATCCTGCTCATTCCATCCTTATTTCAAAATCCATTCATTTCTATCTTCTCATGAGAACCTCAGTAGTATTGAACACTAAGCATAAAACAGAAACAAATACATCTCTGCAGTTTTTGCAGTGACAAGTTGTGTATACTTGCAGTAATGATGACCACCGTACATTTAATGAGGAACTATTATATGTCAAGGATTTATAGCTTTACTTAAGCAATGAGGAAACTATGATGACATAAACTTTGTATATTAAAATAAACTCTGGCTACATCTTACATTTCTTTTCCCATGTTCCTTTTGCCCTGACTTCTTATGTAATTTTCACCTTGTTGCATGATCTTATGTCTAAAATCTTTCTCTTATACACATTTATGACAAATATTGAGGAATTAATTATCAATTAACCAATTTGAAATTCAATGCAGTTGAGTAACTTGTCTTTCCCACACAACCCACATAATACCAGGGACTGGTGGTAGGGGTTGTGGATTCAAACCCACTGCAGTCTGATGATACAACTTCTTTTTCCTGGTAAGATCTGTTGATTCCATGTTGACTTTACACAGTATTTCAATGAGTCATGTTGATTTAGGTATAAATTCTTAGGGCGTCAGCCATATTACATGAATGTCCTGGAGTTTGGGAGCACAGAATATCTAATTTATGTTTTAAAAAGATGTCCACATCAGTGGCTAAAATTTCCTAAACTCAGAACAGGGACAGATTTTAGGAAGTAATTGTACTCTCAATGATGATAAATGAAAGTGTATGACTTGGGTCCCTAGATTCTGTCTGGGGATCTTCCTTAGAAGGCTCTGCCCAAGAAGGCTTTGACTAAAGTGAGAACCTCATCCATGCACGGTGGCTCACGCCTGTAATCCCAGCACTCTGGGAGGCCAAGGCGGGAGGATCACGAGGTCAGGAGATCAAGAGCATCCTGGCTAACACGGTGAAACCCCGTCTCTACCAAAACTACAAAAATCAACTCGGCGTGGTGGTGCGTGCCTGTAATCCAACTACTCAGGAGGCTGAGGCAGGAGAACCACTTGAACCCAGGAAGCGGAGATTGCAGTGAGCCAAGATCACGCCACTGCACTCCAGCATGGCAACAGTGTGAGACTCTCAAAAAAAAAAAAAACAAAAAAAATGAGAACCTCAGTGAAAAGATCTGTCAAATGCAGAAAGGAAGGAGCCTGTAGCAGTGGAAGACCCTGGGACAGGCACCGGCTGCATCAAGAAAGCTCAATTGGAAAGACCGAGTAGGAAAATTCTCAAGAGCTTATAAAGGTTCCCAACAGATGGGGAAGAGAGGACCTTGATGCTGAAGTTGGAGTTGAGCATCCCACTGAAATGGACATGTTTATTACAAACACGAGATGATTCTTTTCATAAAATGACTAGAGGACTTTTGATTAAGAGGGAGCAGATGGGTTTTAGGGTCTAAGATTTTATTGAGGGGTAGGGAAATAACCCTAGAGTATGTTTAGGCAGGCACTGAGTAGGAGAAATGTTGTTTCTTATTGCACTCTGAGAAGTTATGTTGTTTCAACATAATGCTTGAGTAATTAATTATATATTGGTTATATTTAATACCAGATGTGGATATACTGTAATATATTTGATGTATTTTGAGGTGGAGCCTCTAAAATTGGGAGTACCTAGAGCCTACAGAATGTTTCTTTCAAGTCCTTTAAATTCAGAAAGATGTGAAGCTAAAGTAGAGACTGGGAGTCTAGAAACTGGCCCTCAGCCTGCAAGACTCACAGAGCACACTACTAACCCTGGGCAAGAGACATCATGTAAATCACCCCCCAATTACCATCCAGTCTTATTCAAGTAACAATGATGACTTCCCATACTACGAAATCACCAGGAAAATAAATGCTTCCCGCCCCCACCCCCCAATCTCATCTCACTGTAACCTCCGCCTCCTGGGCTCAAGTCATCCTCCAACCTCAGCCTCCCGAGTAGCTGGGCCTACAGGCACACATCACCGCACCCAGCTACTTTTTGTATTTTTGTAGAGGCAGGGTTTTGCCATGTTGCCCAGGCTGGTCTCAAACTCCTGGCTCACCCAATCCACCCACCTTGGCCTCCCAAAGTGCTGGAATTACAGGCCTGAGCCACCGTGCCCAGCCAAAAATGCTACTTTAAATGACGCTTTCTATCTGTAATATTTTTATGGTACACTGAAAAATATTATGCTAAGGGTTAACCTATAGTTTTGAGAAGGACGTACTGTCCTAGAGTATTTCATGACAATTTCTTTTCCTTTCCAAGGTACATTTGCAGTTGCTAAGGAACCAAATTTCACAGCCATGGCTATCTAGCAATACCATATGTGGATAATGTCAGAATAATTTTGTGATAGCTACTGTGAAGCCAAAAATCATGGACATTAGAAATAAGAAAAAATTTCATTAGATTGTCTGCTACAAACATAATAAAAGTCTAGTTCTCCAGTAGAATGAGTGTTCCACCATGAGAGGAACCTTATATATCGGTTTATCATTCTACCTTTTAGCCTAGCATAACTCTAGCACGTAGTAGGCATTGAAAAATATCTATTGAAAGAATAAAGATGTTTCTTCTCACTAGTACTCAAAAGCAGAATTATTTCTATAAGGCTCAAGCAAAGTAGCTCTCACAGGAAAAAAAATGAAATGTATTTAAGAGAATTTCAAAGAAACATTTTGCATTTATAATATTCTCATGCTCCAGTTTTCCAAAGTGTTTTGAAAATAGCCAGATCATTGGAAATTAGTTAAGTACCATTTAGGTTTTATTTAAGTTACTTCTTTCTGAAAACCATGGCTTACAAAAACACATGGGTTTAACCCATCTATTAACACATCTCCTAGTCTCACTATGTCTGACACTAGGAGAATTAACCCATCTCCTTGGGGCTCAGTTTTTGCATCTCTAAAGTAAGGTAGTGTTTCCTTATAATTTAGTTATTGTAATTGCTTATTTATCTGTGGTCAATCTATTATTACCTTTTTTTTTTTTTTTTTTTTTTTTTTTTGAGACGGAGTCTCGCTCTGTCGCCCAGGCTGGAGTGCAGTGGCGCAATCTCGGCTCACTGCAAGCTCCGCCTCCCGGGTTCACGCCATTCTCCTGCCTCAGCCTCCCAAGTAGCTGGGACTACAGGCGCCCGCCACTACGCCCGGCTAATTTTTTGTATTTTTAGTAGAGACGGGGTTTCACCGTTTTAGCCGGGATGGTCTCGATCTCCTGACCTCGTGATCCGCCCGCCTCGGCCTCCCAAAGTGCTGGGATTACAGGCGTGAGCCACCGCGCCCGGCCCTATTATTACCTTAACTTAGCAAAATATCTGTTTCATTTCTGCTTTCTGGGTGAGAGGAAACATCAGTTTCTGGCATTTTGAAGTTGGTGTAATAAAAGGTGATACAGAATCAGAAAATTGCATTCCACAAATGATATCACAGTTCTTGGCAAAGGTTCAGACTTAAAATATTTCTTATGCATTTTTAATGTACTTGATCCTATATATCTTTGTTATATGCTACACAATTTCAACAAAGCTCTACAGCTTCTGTGTTATTTTTGTACCTCAGGTTGACCTATTATTGTTGCATATCCTCAAATATTAACGTTTCCTAGTTTAATGAAGGCTTTTCATGCAACAGGCTCAGAAGTAGTTCTATACAGTTTGTTGTCTTAGCAGGTTGACATTCACTTTTTTTTTTTTTGACTAAGTCTCGCTCAGTCACCCAGGCTTCAGTGCAGTGGAGCCACCTTGGCTCACTGCAACCACCTCCCGGGTTCAAGCGATTCTCCTGCCTCAGCCTCCTGAGTAGCTTGGAATACAGGCACATGCCGCCACACCCAGCCAGTATTTTTAGTAGAGACAGGGTTTCACTCTGTTGGCCATGCTATTCTCGAACTCCCGACCTCAGGTGGTCTGCCCATCTTTGGCCTCCCAAAGTGCTGGGGTTACAGGCATGAGCAACGGCGCCCAGCCAACATTCACCTTTTAAAATAAATATTTAACTTCTGTTAGTTTGCAGGGAAAAGCAGCAGTGCTTAGGGACACATTAATTTTAATTAATTTTTTCCTATCATTTTCCGGTGTACCGTACCACATATTGTGGTGCTGTATGTAACCTGATACATTCCATCTGCTGCTTTTATTCTCTTCAGTCACTATGTGATTTCACAAAACAAGAGAAACCAAGTTTGTCTGGCATAATAAACTCCTGTGATTTTAGCTGTTTAGCCCTGTAGATTGTTCTCCTACGAGTACTTACAGATTTCTTTTTACTTCATCTTTAAATGATTGCACAGAGTCACAAGACATCCTTTGATCAGAGCAAATTATTCCCCAAGCCCTGCCGTATCGCCTCAGTCCTTCTGGCTTCTCTGTGAAGGTTATAACTAATTCTTTACGATTCTGAAATTCAGCCATGTTCATTATACATTCTCTTTTGTACCTATAGCTGATCAACTGTTAAATTAGGTGAACCAGTAATGAAACTAATCTAAAGCGTCACCAAAACTAAAATATTATTTGGTAATAACTTTTCAAGGAGCTCAAGAGTTGTCAATACCCTCAAATGAAAGAGACATTCCATTTTGGTAGAGTGAGGAAGGAGTGGGCTTTGTAAGCTACTGACTGCTTTGAAATCCCAGATCCACATCTACTATGTGAATTAAGCCACTTAGTATCTCGGAACTTCTGTCTTCTTTTTTTACACAGTTTCTCACCTTGTCACCTACGCTGAAGTGCAGTGGTGCCATCATAGCTCACTGCAGCCTGGAACTCCTGGATTTGAGTAATCCTCCTGCCTCAGCCTCCCAAGTAGCTTGGACTACAGGTACACACCATCTGATTTTCTTTTCTTCAGAGACAAGGTCTTACTATGTTTCCGAGGCTGGTCTCAAACTCCTAGGCTCAAGTAATCATCCAACCTCAGGCTCCCAAAGTGCTGGGACTACAGGTGTGAGCACCATACGTGGCCCTCCATCTTCCTAAAGAATGGAGATAGTAACACCAACTCTTTAGACTGATGTGAAGACTAGGTAAAAGACTAAAAGAAAATGGCACAGAAATTTATGATTATCAAGGAGGTTAAACACATATATTTATCTCCTCTGCCTCCCTAGAACTTGAATAAAAATGAGTCAAGGGAATAAAACTGTATAAACTCCAAAAAGGCAAAGAGAATGGGTGAGGGGGTAACAGTAGAGGAACAAGGGGATGAATGCTATCTGCTGTAAGCATCCCTCTCTCTGCTCTGTTAGTGGCCATGAATAGGAGACGGGAAGAAGTGAGAGGGGCTAAAAAAGAAGAAATGATTCATAAATCTGAGCAATTTGAAATAAATGAATGAGAACTTAGAAAACTAAGAAAAAAATTGAAATAAATAGTAACTCCAGGAAAAAGAAAAAGTCATACAAAAAAAAGAAATATAAGTGAAGCACAAACATCTAATCTTATTCAATGTTTACAAAAATATAATGATGTAAATGCCTACCGTTGATTTTCGTCGGAAAGGAATATATAATTATATATAAATGTTACGAATATAAGAGAGCTAAATTCTAATCAATTATTTGAGGAAGCCAATTTTTAAACATTTATTTATTATGAGAAATGGAGTCTCCATATTGTCCAAGTTGGAGTGCAGTGGCTAACAGGAATGATCATGGCATACTACAGCCTCAAAGTCCTTGTTCTCTAGTGATCCTCCTGCCTCAGCCCCGTGAGTAGATGGGACTACAAGAATGTACCACTGTACCTGGCAGGAGGCCAATTTTTAAAAATCAAAAGAATAGTTTCAGTAGTGTATTCTGTTTGTAGCTTTAGTGTTATAATTTTGTTTTCTATATGAAGATAATACTAAAAGAAATCTCACAGTTGAAAGTAACCTCTGTGAGCATGGGGAAGGAATGGTAACATCACTCATTTTCATTATAATACCTGTACTATTTTTTTAAATTATGTATTAATTACTTTGACAAAAATATTTTTATAAAAGAGACTGGCAAATGCATGATCTTTTCTGAATTATTCTTCAATATCTTTTTATTAGCATCCTAATAAAGATCAGTTGTTTAGGCTATCATTAGGTTAATAAAATTATGTTAATACTGTATAGCAACTTAAAAGAAATTCAATTAATCATCCCTTAACACAAGCCTAACACAGATGCCCACAAAAGTAAAATGCCAAGTATCTTTCAATGTTTAATTTACTATTGAAGGGCTGAAAACTGGAAGGCAATTTTCAATAAACTTGGTCTAGGTCATCATGAAATTACCTTTCAAAAGTTAGATCCAAGATAATATACATCATTGAAAATATTAATTTATTGTTAATTATCCAAGCAGTATACCTATGATATTAATACTGCTGGTAGAACACTGGAAAACCTGCATCATCTAAAGCTCTTGAGAACCATAATCTACTCCCAACACATTCTATCATCCTCACTCCCCAACCTACCCCATCCCTCATGAAGCAGAAATTAAAAGGACATCGCTGTTTTGTTCTGTTTTTTGAGACGGGCTTTCACTCTTTTTGACCAGGCTGGAGTGCAATGGCACCATTTTGGCTCACCACAACCTCCGCCTCCCGGGTTCAAACAATTCTCCTGCCTCAGCCTCCCGAGTAACTGGGATTACAGGCATGCACCACCATGCCCGGCTAATTTTGTATTTTTAGTGGAGACGGGGATTCTCCATGTTCGTCAGGCTGGTCTCGAACTCCTGACCTCAGGTGATCCACCTCCCTCGGCCCCACAAAGTGCTGGGATCACAGGCGTGAGCTGCCGTACCCGGCTGACACTTCCGTTTTATTGGGTTAATTTAGTGATTTTCCGCTGAAAGTTGGGCAGGACACGATCCCTTATGTAGAATGCATGAGGAAAAACTTGCAGTAGGGGCTGGCTCACAGCCAGATAAGACTGAGAGGAGGGGAGAAGGCCCAGGTAGAATCCCTGTTGCAGAAGGGGTTCTGAGAAGGACACAGTTCACACTCTTCGAAGGGCACTTTGTTGTCAGGGGGAAGACATGCTGAAGAAGGATGTCTATTAATTTTTTCCATGTAATATATACTATGAATTATATATGTCTCTGAATCCTCTGGACAAACCATATAAAAGGTACATTTTTGCTTAATTCGTGGTAGAATTGGGCTTGCTTTTCTGAGATTATAGTAAAGTTTTGAGTCTAGCCTCCTAAGTAGGTAAACCTAAACTTCCATTGTGGTCCTGTGGTCCAAATTTACATTTTCTCTCTTTTCATTCTCAGAAGGGCTCTCAAGGACCAACCAAGTCTCCTACACCAAAAGCAAGAAGCAGCGATGAGGCAGCTAGTAAAAGAATATGTGATAAAATTAGTTTCTACTTAGCTAATTTCTTTACAATAAAAACATATCTGACATAAAATAGACACATTGATGCCTTTTTAATTAAGTGAAGAAAACAATTCACTCTCTCTTGGATGATGTGAGTCAATATTGGGGAAATAGTAGTTGGGATAAGCTGAGGATTTGATGGACATTAAGTTGCTATCGGACATCAGGTTCAGGAGCTCACTGATGGTTAATGAACTTCATTCTGGAAAAAGATGCCTCGATGTCAGTTTGATTTTTGCTCATTTGCTGCCTTGACATAAAAGTGAGTTAAGTGTGCAGCTGTGTGACCTCCTGGGTATTATAGCATGACTACACTACTCCATAGTTAATTAGCAAATCGAAGGTTGAAGCAGCCTTTTCCGGAGTCATAGGAATTGCAAGGCCATTTGCTCCCCATTGTCCTAAATATCCTCTGTCTAGTTACCATCAATTATTTTTGCTTGATTAATACAACCCCTGAATTTACGATATTGTTGAGTCTCACTTATACTACGGCTAATAGGTGTGAAGACAGAAGATGCTTCACCCTTTCAAGTTTCTCAGGTGACACTGATACGAGTTCTCCAAGCAAGCCTGGATGCTTGACTTATAACTGAATTTCAGACACAAGCTGATACAAAAATTGGATGTGGGTTGCCATAACAAAATTAAATTCCAACATATTAACTGCCAGGAAAGAGGAGAGTGAAAGAATCATATTACCACTTGCCCCTCACACTGTCATAGTCGACAAAAGACTGACTGAAAGGCCAAAGAAAAGCAAGAACAGGGAATAATACTGCACGAGCACTGAAATCAGGAGTAAAAGCAAACACGTATCACAGATATACTGCTGTGTGAGCCAAAGCAAAGAAAATCACAGGACACTACACAGAATTGATTTTCCTGCTGCAGAAAGCAAAAGGAGGGAATTCTGTAAGTGTCTGTTAAGTGTCCCTGTTTTGAAGATGCAATCACCGGTGGTCCTTCCCCACAGCAGGTCAGAGGCTCTGGAAACCAGGCTGGAAAGGAGCCATTATTCTTATTTTTTTTTATTATTGACTAAATGACTATCCTTCAAACATTATCCCATTAAATCCTATATGGGATGAGGTCTGGAAGGGAAAGGGACAGGGCTGAAATTTGACAAGTAACTGGTCACCAATTTAGTGCAAATTCAAGTATGGAGGATTGGTGTGCAGAATAAAAAGCTCACAGGACAGAAAGTCTAACTGGACTTCTTACTGATGTCCCCACCAGATAGGACTATGAACTTGATTTTGCAAACCTAGTACCAGTTCAGCAGTGGCAAGTTACTTGAATTAAAATGCACCAAAAAATCTTCTGTAGCCCTGCTTTTTGCATTTCCTCCAGCCTCCAAGGCTCTGACAGACAACTTGATATGCTCTAGCCAACCCTCCTGCTTTAAGGATGGAATTTTCAATGCAAGTTAAAACAACAATGAAATATCATTTATCACTTACATCATTGCTAAGATTGAAAATATTGAGAATAGCCAGCTTTAATGAGGTGGAGGAAAACAGTCACCTTTAACGACTGCTGGTATAACTATAAACTACAAAAAAAAAAAAAAAAAAAAAGCCTTCCTGGAGGGTAATTTGACAATCTGTTTAAAAATTTCAAATGCATATTCACTGACCCAGCAATTCTTCTAAAAATACACACTAATAACCACGGAAGTGTCCAAAGATACAGTATGAGGATATTCTGTTGATAATAGAGAATAACTAGAAAACAAAAATGTGCATCAACAGAGACCTGGAGGCATCATGGGAAACCATGCCAAGGAGTACAGTGTAGTCATTACAAATAATTGTATTTGTCTATATTTAGTTAGATGGAAAAAAATCTGCAGTGTGTCTGCAAAGGAAAAAAGCAAGCTGTCAAACAGCCACCTGTGCAAAATATTCATTATGAAAAAGTCTGAAAGGCTCTACAATCAAAATGTGGCTTGTGGATTTTTGAGCGATTTTCATTTCCTTCTTTACAAATTTATCTATTGTCTGGATATTTTATGAGGACTGTGTATTGCTTTATCCATTACTTTATAAAACAGTGCGAATCAGAAATAAACATACCAATATGTTTGATAAAAATGAATAATTTTTACAAAGTTATTACAATTGATAAAAAATTAAAACTGTCAGCTATTCTGAATATATAAAATAAAAAGTTTCAGTTAGACCCTGGTTGAATTTAAGTCAGTCGGTTATTTAATGCATTAATTAATTGACCTCAGTTTCTCCATTGAAAAGGTTTCCTTCGATGCCCTGGGGCCATAGACCCTGCTGAGCATAGGTAAAGCCACGTGATTCACTCCCATCCTCTGGAACCCTCCCAAACCTAATTCCCCCTCCCTACTCACGCACAGAGTTGACTGGAACAAGGTTTGATTGTGTTAATGAGTATATAAAGCAATTGAAGTCGGTCCCTGTTGATACTTGAACTGAACAAGTATGTTGGGATTCTGGAGGCCCTTTTTCACCTGGACACCAAACAAGAGGCAGAGATGAGAAAAAATTGTATCAAGAGAAACAAAGAAGCTGACTTTTTATTTTCCTAAATTCTCTCACCAGGCATAACTATACTTCCTGCTTGGTTTCTGGAAGATAACACGTATTTGTTTCCATAAATTCTCCTTTGATTTAAGCTAAGGCTGTGGTTTTTTTGTTTTCTGTTTTCTTTACTATTTGCAGCTGACTAAAGTCTGGTGGGTAGTCTCTAAAATGGCCTCCAGTGATTTTTGCCCTCTCATTTTCACACCCTTGTGTAATTCATTCTCCTCTAGTGTGGACTTGACCTACTGGCATGCTTCTAATTAATAGAACATGGCAGAAATTATGGGCACTAAGTGGTGGACCTATTGGCTTCTATCTTACGTTCTATCTCTTTCTCTGATGTACATACACACAGACACACATACACACTCACGCACACACTTCGCTGGAGCGGCCTCGGAGGATGGAGGCTGTCTATTCAGAGGACTACTGCGGTACGCCAACCAACAACCAACACCAACTGCCAATCCCGTGAATGGGCTTCTTGCACATAGACCCTCCTATTCTAATCAAGGCTTCAGATGAAGCTGCCCCAGCCAATAGTTTTACTCCAAGAGAGACCATGAGCCAAATCTATCCCCACTAAGCTACTTCTGGAATCTCACCCAACATAAACTGAAAATAAGTATTTGTTGTTCAAGCCATTCAACTCTGGAGTCATTTGATATGCTACAATAGATTACAAATACATAATCCCTTATTGAAATAATGATATGTTCAACTATGGGAGAAATGTTCAAAAATAATATCAGTGAAAAGTTGGAAAATATAACATTGAAAATGAATGAGGTTGAAAATGTGAAAGGCCTAAATAGGACTTCTTTAATTTTTAGTCCTCTCTGAATAAAATATCTTTATGATATAGAAATCTGAATACATTTTCACAAAGAATGCATTATTTTTAAAGTAGAGAAATACTTCAAACTATTTTCACTTGGATGTACATGTATACACATACATAAAGAGCCAACTATATAATGACACAGTTAATAATATTTCAGATTAAGAAAAAATACTGATGCCTCACAGCAGTATCAATAAGACTTAAGCACTGAATAAATATATTGAATTAAGAAGTCAATGAATGAATTTTCCAACAGTAACCCTGTTTTTCAACTCTGTAATGATCCATCAATATACTGGCTTTTTCATCTTCAGAGAACTCTTGATTCTAATAAAAGCATTTGAAGCGGTTAATCCATGTGTAAACCACATACACTAAGGGGAAAAAAAGATTTGAAAAGCCAACGACCTGACGTGATATTAAGTGATTCAACAGCCTTTAAAACTGTGGTTAAGCAAAGGTTTGAAGTAAAATAAGAAAGTATCATAAAATAATAAAAGGGGTGTTTTATTATTACTTTAATTTCCTTTTGAAAGAATCACTTTTCTGGATTTTGTTTGTTAAAAACTGAGATGTCCTGAGATAGCATGAAAGTGACAGGACTTCTAATAATAAAGATGTCAAGCTGTTAGAAATGTACTTCATAATTGCTGAATCACAGGAAACAGGTTCCTTTACTAAGACTGGAAGAACAAAGCAAGGCAGGAATAGTTAAAACATGATGAACTAAGGGTCAGAAAAAAATATGTAAAAACAAGGATAAGTGGAAGTTTCAAGCTGAGAAGAATCTTAGGCTTAGAAAGAAGGCAGTGGTACAGGATGCTCGAGTACAGTACGTGGAAGAAAATTAACAGGAAATAAACACATAACCTGGAGAAACAAGGTGTTAGAACAGCCAATGCTTACTGGTAAAATATCCATCTACTGAGTAAAAGCAGGTCCTTGCAAGCTCCAAACTACAGATGTCAAAACAGGTGGAGGCAACTTATTGTGAAACACGACAGAAGAGCAATGAAAAGCCATTATCTTTTCAGCAACTTGAGAAAATCAGAAGGCACGGCGAGTAGAAAACAGAGAGAATATAAATCACACTCCTTTGAGATATCTTTGCTTTTTAAAAAAACATGGTTAACTTACCTGGTCGAGAATTTCATTGAAGTTGCTCCAGAGTACGTATCTTATTCACAAAGAAGTCCTTTTTGTTTAATGTCTCTATTAAGAACACTAGTATTGTCTAGAGCAAAAATACCTACACCCTCCTAAGTACCTATATCAGATAAACTGACTAATAATCTCCTGACTGCTATAGTGATTCCCAGACCAAGAAAGTTCATAGCAGATGGTGTCAACAACCCCACTGCTCCAGTCTCCTGGGTAGAGGAAAGGGTTTTGCAAATTTGGTGACCCGCTTTGGACTCTCCAAGCCTCAAAGAAATCAGAGGTTATTATGAAACTGTCCAATGGTACAAAGATTTTGCTCAATGGCCGTCAATAACTTAACCAGAGTTTCTCATCTAAACCAAAGAAAAGAGAAAATCATTTGAGAGACTACAGTCTCAATACTTCCAGGAATAATATATAATTAGTACAATTTTAGATGTACAGGAGATAAATGAATCCATTACACATAACGGGTAGCTAAAGCCATCAGGGATTAATTCTCTTGTAAATCCAGGTGCATGGGTGGCATGAAAATAAACAACATAAAACTTTTGAGCTGCTGCAACTAAAACAAATGTCTAATGCATGATATGCCTAACATATATACTGAAGTCCATGTTGAAGCCAAAGTGGAATGTGCACCTCATATTTAAAGCCAGGTTATTATACAACTAACTCCGTCACTTTAGTAACGTGAGAATGCCAGACAGCTTGCCAGACAGAGAGACACATCACAGAGTCTGTATTAGTCAGTGATATAGTTTGAACATATGTCCCCATCCAAATCTCATGTTGAAATGTAACCCCCAATGATGGAGGTGGGGCCGGGTAGAAGGTATTTTGATCCCGGGGGTAGATCCCTCATGAAAGGCTTGGACTATCTCCTCGGTGGTTAAGTGAGCTCTCGCTCTGAGTTCTGGCCATTTAAAAGGCTATGGCACTTTCCCCCCACCCTCTCTCTCTTGTCCCTGCTCTCACCATGTGAAGTGCCTGCCCCTACCGTGCCTTCCGCGAGGAAAAGTTTCTCCAAGCCTCCTCAGAAGCAGAGGCTGGCACCATGCTTCCTGTATAGCCTGCAGGCCCATGAGTCAATTAAACCTGTGTTTAATTATAAATTAAATTTATAATCCTTTATAAATCAGCAATTTCCAACCTTTTTGGCACCAGGGACCAGTTTTGTGGAAGACAAGTTTTCCAGGGATGTAGGGGTGGGTGAGAACTACTCCACCTCAGATCTTCAGGCATTAGATTCTCATAAGGAGAATGCAACCTAGATCCCTCACATGCACGGTTCACGATAGAGTTTGTGCTTCTATGAGAATCTAAAGATGCAACTGATCTGACAGGAGATGAAGCTCAGGAGGTCATATTCACTCACCACTTACCCCCTGCATGTGGCCCGGTTCCTAACAGGCCATGAACTGGGGGTTGGGGACTCCTGTTATAAATTATCCAGTATCTGGTTTTTCTTTATAGCAAGGCAAAGACAACCTAACACAGTCAGCTTTCACTAGTTTTGCTCCTAAAACCAAAGTGTCTTAAAACAACAAGGATATATTTCTCACTCAAAGTACCTGTGGGCTGTGAGTCACCTAAAGCAGCAGACCCTACATGAAATAAGCTGATCTCTGGAAAGGAGCAAAAATGGGACCACCCAGCTTTTGCTCAGCCTGGTCATGCCTCCCTTCCAGTGGCCAGAGTGTCCCACATCCAAGACTCTTATGAAGGGCTGGAAAGTAGACATCTCCCTTAGAGAGGGTCACCAGAGAGGGGACACAGAGAGATGGACCCCAGTACAGACAGCAGAGCAAATATGTTGAGCAAATAATAGTCTATCATGGAGTAAACAGTACAATATATCATAGAGGCAGAAACTTCAGAATGCCACCATATGCTCTGAGTTGTAAGTAACAGGTGATCAATATTTTGTAAAGAAAATTAAAGGAAGCAACCATCCTTCAGAAACCATTTGAAGAGGGCTTTGCATTTAAAGTTGCACTTCAAGCAATTATAAACAAAAAATGGGAGTATTTAGTAATTCGACTGAGACAGTCAGTCAAGACTCTGATGCCCATTGTTTATATCCTGCCAGAATTTGTATAAAAAGTTATAGTCCTTTTGATGAACATGAGAGGTTGGTTAACAGATACAAAATTACAGCTAGATAGGAGGAATAAGCTCTAGTGTTCTACAGCAGTGTAGGGTAAAATTAATTAACAACAATATATTGTATAATTTCAAATAGTGAGAAGAGCCGATTTTGAATATTCCCAACACCAAGAAATGATAAATGCAGCCAAGCATGGTAGCTCACCCCTGAGATCCCAGCACTTTGGGAGGCCAAGGAAAGTGGATAGCTTGAGCCCAGGAGTTCGAGACCAGCCTGGGAAACATGGTGAAACATGTATTTCTACTAAAAATACAGAAAAATCAGCTGAGTGTGGTGGTGCACGCCTATAGTCCCAGCTACTTGGGAGGCTGAGGTGGAACAATGGCTTGAGCCCGGGAGGCAGAGGTTGCAGTGAGCTGAGATCACGCCATTGCACTCCAGCCTGGGTGACAGACCCAGACCCTGTCTCACAAAAAATAAATAAATAAGTGTTTCAGGTAATTAATATGCTATCATAATTATCCTGATTTGATCATTATACATTGTATGCATGTATTGAAATATCATACTGTACCCCATAAATATGTATGATTATGTGCCAACTGAAATAATGCAAAACAATACTCCTATCTTGACCTAGCAACTTCAATTTTTAGTATTCTAGAAAATATTAAAGTAGCACAACAGATGTATTCACAAGTAAGTTGAGTAGAGCAATGTATACGAAACCAGCCAACTGGAAACGTCATAACTGAGCCACAAGTTTGGTGTGCAAAATTATGCTGTATTCATATTAATATAATTCTCTGCAGACATAAAAATGACATGAAGAACGCCTATTAAATATATTTATGATACATGATATAATTGATCACCATGCAAAATTGAATATACAGTATAAACCTGATTTGCAGAAAAAATGTATATAGCTTTAGGCATAAAGAAGAGTGGGCTGAGCGTGGTGACTTACACCTGTTATCCTAGCACTTTGGGAGTCTGAGGCAGGTGGACTGCCTGAGCTCAGGAGCTCGAGATCAGCCTGGACAACATGGCGAAACTCTGTCTCTACTAAAATACAAAAAATCAGTCAGGTGTAGTGGCGCACACCTGTAGTCCAAGCTACTCGAGAGGCCGAAGCAGGAGAATCGCTTGAACTTGGGAGGCAGAGGTTGCAGTGAGCCAAGATCGTGCCATTGCACTCCAGCCTGGGTGACAGAGTGAGATTCCCTCTCAAAAAAAAAAAAAAAAAATAGAAGAGTGAAGTGAAGGTCAATGCTGAAATATTTAAAGTGATTATTTCTAGATGCCACATTTATAGGTAACTTTCATTTTTTTCTGTATGTTTCACTCCAGTTTTCAAGGAGACTCAATTAATTACTTTAAAATGGCTAATGTCCAAAAACGCAGACTATGAGTCCTGAAAGACTGAGGCCTTATTTCTGCATAGGGGCTTTAGATTGTCACTAGGCAATCTAAAGTTCCTACGCAGAAATAAGAAATAAATTGTCATTTAGGGTAGAAATAATTGCCTTAAACCTTGAGGGATTTAATGGCTTATCACCTGTCCTAAGAGAACTTGCCAATCGTGACAAGAAAGACTCATTTTATCAGCATGGTGAAATCACTCTTGGATAGAATGTACTTGGAAAGAACATACCTGAAAAGCTGCAGAGTTCTTGACTGTCATGATTTGCTGTTTTTCACTAACTTTCTTTCACCTTCCCAGCTTGAAATGACAAAACCATTCTTCTGAAAACGTCCATTATCTCGTTGAAAGACATTTCCTCAAAGCTCCTTATCTTTGCAATACATACCAATGTAAAGAAAGCACTTCTCGGCCAGGCGCGGTGGCTCATGCCTGTAATCCCAGCATTCTGGGAGTCCAAGGCAGACGGATCACCTGAGGTCAGGAGTTCAAGACCAGCCTGGCCAACATGGTGAAACCCCGTTGCTATTAAAATACAAAAAATTAGCTGAGTGTGGTGGTGGATGCCTTGTAATCCCAGCTACTCAGGAGGCTGAGGCAGGAGATTCGCTTGAACCCAGGAGACGGAGGTGGCAGTAAGCCGAGCATGCAGCATCGCACTCCGCCTGGGCAACAAGAGGGAAACTCTGTCTCAAAAAAAAAAAAAAAGAAAAGAAAAAGAAAGAAAGAGAAAAGAAAGCAAGCACTTCTCAAATATTCTCAAATAGTTTCTTTTCTCTGGGAATCTTTCATGAAAAAAACATGAACAGTGAACCTCCAATTTACATGAGCATACATACCTGTACCCAAATGATGCCTAAAATGATGCAGAGGCAGAAAAATACTTGAACAGCTCTGCTAAGGCCCAATATTACATACATAGATGATGACATTTTATACTTACCCATAAATATTTTTCCCTACTCACAATATGATATTTTTCTCATAAAAGTAGCGCATGGCTAGGCAGGGTGGCTCATGCCTGTGATCCCAGCACTTTGGGAGCCTGAGGCAGGAGGAACACTTGACCCCAGGAGCCCAGGAGTGAGCTCACACCACTGCACACCAGCCACACTGCAGATTACGCCACTGTACTCTAGGCTGGGTGACAAAGCAAGACCGTCTCTTAAGGGGGAAAAAAAAAAAGTAGCCCGTAATTTTTTTCATTTTTTACAAAGAAAAAAATAAAAAGAACAACAACAATGACAACAAGAACCATTTGGAGTTCATACAAATTCACGGATTCAATTCATGCTTTATGCCTTCATCACTTGTAATACTCAGGACCAGGAGGCTACCACACCAGACTAATGTCCTGGTTCTACTAGGCTTACAGCTCTGGAACAAGTGAACATGTCTTGTCTCTTCCTCCAAAACAACACACTTACACTCATGGACATGCAGACACAGACACACTCTTAGGCACCCTGAATGAAACCTTTACAGTACTAGATCATTGTGGACCTAGCACTTAGCACTACTGTATACCTCCACTAGCTGAACTATGCTAGTGGAATATGGCATTCAATCTATTCCCCTTTCTAAAAACAAATGTAAAAATGGAGCAAAATACCCATTTGGCCTACAAAGAAACGTAGAGACCATCTGGCCTTGTTGTTCCTCCTTCTCAGGCCCTCGGCCTTCCGCAGGTCCATTCCAGGGCCGCTCTTGCCCAGTGACTGGCAGAACTGTCCTCACTTTTGTTTTGCTGTTGCTAGATTTCCATTCTTTGTCCATGCACTTGCCTCTCACCACCCCCTTTCCTTTGGCAAACACAAATGGTATCATCTCCAATCCTTACCATTTCTCCTTTTCTCTAGATCTCTCTTATTTCTTCTCTACTCCATCTCTTATCACAATTTTTCTAGTTTGCCACAAAAAAAAAAATGGTGAAAAGATATAGTCCCCATTCATCAGGGAATCCCTTTCCTCCTCCATATCACCCCATACCAGGTTTCTCTTTCTGTTTATCCTCCGTTATCCATTTTTCCCAGTTCTAAAGGCCAAAACCCCTACCCTAAATTTTTCCTTTTTTGCTAGCTATTTGTGGAATCTGAGGTCCTAAGAAGGCTGTTCTCCACATGGCTGATATTTTTGTGCATTTTTTATGTGCATATAGCAATAAATATAAATCATAGCTGTAACTTTTGATATATACTTGGGTTAAAAAGAATTCTTCAATATTTAATCTAAAAGGTGCATAGTGTGATTTAATATTTTTCATGAGTAGTAAGAAGAAAAAATATTACTACTTTATGCTAAAACCTACTGAAGCATATTCAGAATACTAAGGAAGAGTCATAATTCTTCTTATTTAGAAATTCATTTGGAACTTATAATTCATTTAGAATGTATAATTCATGTGGAAAATATCTGGGTAGGTTCTTTGAATATAAATAGTGAGGCCTCTAGGGCATGGTCTACAAAATAAAGGTAAAGGAGTTTAGGATTTCCCCAAAGACAATTTTGGAGATGGAAGATGAGGGTCACAGGGATGAGGAGACCCAGAGTGACAAAGAAAGATCTAGACAGGGAGAAAGATCCTAGAAATATTATGTGAAGTCTAAACTCAAGGAGGGTTATAATCACTCTGTGGTCAGGTAATGGCAGTGCAGTATTGTCAAATATATATTTGGTCTTCAACCTGTTTCCTGATATACAACTCCTAAAATCCTTAAAATCTCCAAAGTGATGGTTTTTGTCTGCAAATGATCAACAGATGGCTGCAATCCCTACGTAGCTTCAGGATGGGAGCTGGTCACCTGAAAGACCAGAACATCTGAAAGACCAGCCTTCTGAGAGGGGAGGGGGCCTAAGGTCAAGTTGATTATCAATGGCCAATGATTTAATCAGTCATGCCTAGGTAATGAGGCCTCTATAAAAATCCAAGAGCAAAGGGTTTAGATAGCTTCTAGATAGCTGAACACATGTAGGTTCCCGAAGGGTGGTCCACGGAGAGCAGGCATGGGAGCTCACCACCACAATTACTGCCTTAGGTGACTCTTCACATGTATCCTTTCTAGTATCCTTTATAAGAAACTGAAAAAAACATGGTTCCCTGAGTTCTGTGAGTCTCTCCAGAAAATTAATTGAACCCAAAGAGTGGGTCATGGGAACTCTGACTTGAAACCAGTCATCAGAAGTTCCTGAGGCTTGGGCTTGTGACTGGCATCCAAAGCTGGGGAGCAGTCTTGGGGACTGAGCCCTCAACCTGTGGCATCTGAAGCTACTTCCAGGTAGATGCTGCCAGAGTTGAATTGGAGGATATGCAGCTTGTGTCCACTGCAGAACTGATTGCTTGCCTGGTGTGTGGGCAACCTCTCCCATATATTTCATCATAGAAGTCTTCCCTGTTGACTGTTTTTGTGAGTGGTGTGAGAACAGAGGAAAAAGAGTTTGAAGGTTTTTTTATTTTTTTTGTTCCCCCCTCCCTCGCCCCCGCCCCCCCCACCCTCCCCCCCACCCCCGCCACACACACACAGATGGTGTCTGAATCAGCTTAATGGCAGATAATTTTCTGGGACCAGTAATATGACACTGAATTTGGGGTAACCCCTCTAATTCCTGCCTTTCTCTACTCACAAATTAAGTTGCAAATGGTAAGTGTGCTACAACTTTGTGCCAATAGGCACTTAGGGGGAAAAAGGAAGAGAGGTGTTCATTATAGACGAGTAGGAGACAGAACAGCAGCATCAAGACCTGATTTTTTTGTTGTTTTTCACTTTTAATTGTGGTAAAATTCATAGAACATAAGCTTTACCATATTGGCCCATTTTTAAGTGTACAGTTCAGTAGTGTTACATTCACATTGTTGTATAACCAGTCTCCAAAACGATTTTCGTCTTGTAAAACTGAAACTCTGTATCTTTTAAACTGTCTCTGTGAATCTGACTACTCTAGACATCTCAGGGAAGTGCAATAACACATTATTTGTCTTTTTGTGGCAGGATAATTTCACTCAGAATAATGTCCTCAAGATTGGTCCATATTGTAGCAATTCATCCAATTGACCATATTGTGTCAGAATCACCATCCTTTGTAAATTTGAATAATATTCCATTTTACATATCTACTCCGCTGTGTTTATCGATTTATCTTTTGATAGACTCTTGGGTGCTTCCACCTTTGGGCTACTGTGAATAACGCTGCTATGAACAGACGTGTGAGACGAGAATTTTGAACAGGAGTCAGTCCACTAGTGTAGATGGACCCAGCAACACAACCCTATTCCCCAGGAGAGTCAATTTTGAAAGAAGGAAAAGTAGCCATGTGATTTATATATTCAACATTTTTTTTCGGTTACCTATAGCCCTCTCCCAATTTTTCTAGGCTTTGTAGAAAACATTTTCACATTAAAACTATACATTAAAGCAGACATCTCCACTTAAGTGTTCAGTAGGCATATGAGACTTAACATGTCTAAACTAACTTTCCGATCTTCCCCATGAATCTGACTTCAATTGGTGCTCTGCTCTTGTCAGTTGAGGGCCACTGCATCCTCCCAGGTGCTCAGGCCAAAAGGCACATGCCACCGTCTATGCCTCCATTCTGTCTATTCTCAACATAGCATGCAGAGGCATCCTTGAGACAGTCTTGCTTTGTCACCCAGCCTAGAGTACACTGGCGTAATCTGGTGTGCAGCCACTACAGTGGCTGGTGTGCAGTGGTGTGAGCTCACTCCTGGGCTCCTGGGATCAAGCATTCCTTTTCATCTTAAGTCAAATCATGATGCTCTCCTGCTCAGTCCTTCAACGGCCTCTTTCTCTGCAAGATCTGAAGATCTTGCAGTGGCCTCTCAAATCCTTAGGTGATCTGGTTCCCTGCTCCCTCTCTCACCTCCTACCATTCTTCACCCTCCTCCTGTGGGTCCAACCCCATTGAACTCTCTTCTGTCCCTTGAATATACCCACCTACTCCAACATTACATCATGGACTTTAAACGCTCTCCCCCTACATCATCCATGACTCCCTTGTTTACCTCCCCTACTGTCGACTCTCCTGTAAGGTCTTTCCCAGGTAACCATATTTAAAATTTCAGCTTTCTCATTTCCTGAAATGCTCCTTGTCTGTCTTCTCTGCTTTATTTTTCTCCACAGCACTTACCCCACTCATTATACCATATATACTTTATTTATTTGTCTTAGACATCCTCAATTTTTCACCATCAGGATGTCTGCTTCATGAGGGCCAGGGCTGTATGTGTTTTGCCTACTTCTGTATCCTCAGCAGTGGGCAGTGCCTGGTGTCCAGTAGGTGCTTAATGGGTCTCTGTGAAATGAATTAAATTTGTATGAATGAATGAATTAAAGCAAAAAGTCAAGTTTGGGGAAAGAAAAAAGTTCAGCAAACATGTTGTAAAAAGTAGAAACCAAAAAATTTCAACTAAGGTTTTTCCATGTTACTCATTTAACAAAATACAAATAAGTCACATCAAACAGTTGGCAATTAACAAATTAAAAAGAGGCTGGGTGCCGTGGCTCACATCTATAATCCTAGCACTTTGGAAGGCCAAGATATGTAGATCACTTGAGGCCAGGAGTTCAAGACCAGCCTGGGCAACATGACGAAACCCCATATCTATAAAAATTACAAAAATTAGCTGGGCGTGGGGGTGCACACCTGTAGTCCCAGCTACTTGGCTGGGACACGAGAATCACTTGAGCCCAGGAAGTGGAGGTTGCAGTGACCCAAGATTGCACCACGGCACTCCAGCCTGGGTAACAGCGTGAAAAGAGGCAAACTGCCTTGACTATATGCCTATAGAGATTTACTGTAAACAGAATCAGTTTCTTAAAGAATTTTAATCTTACACTTGAACAAAGTTTGTATTGGATGAAGACATCTATGATATTTTGTGTGCCTCATTTTATCAATTCACAAGAGGAAATGTTTTGTTAGACCTGTTAAGAAAGTGGACAAATAACTCAAGACATACCCATACCATAGCTTTTGCATTAATCAATAGATTAAAGACACATAAAGAAATAAATAACGAGGAATTTTTTTAAAAAACGGCCAAAAGTTCTGTGGCCAGCACCTGTCCCACCTCTAACCCAAAGGAACATTTTATGTGGAGTTATTCAGGAGAATGGCATTTAAATTTTAGACAACTGATACTTTTCTTTCTTACAGCTACTTGTAAATTACTTTCAGAAAGAGCCATATATCCTTTAGCTACAAGTCACGTGGATAGATACTCCTTCATGACTCAGTTCTGTTTCCAAAGTGTTTTGATACTCAGATAATGTTAATGCAAGAAAAGAACTGCCCCTTCTCCAGCTTTTCACTTATCTTATGGCATCGGCCTTTGAAATAACAAATTCAGTCTAAAACTGTGTTTCACTTTTCATAAGAGTTAGGAAAATTCTGGCTCTCTCAAGTGGATTATATCCAGGACACCTTATCATCATCTTCTGAACCTACCATGTCTATGTTTTTCTCTCATGATCTGTGTAACCATTTAGTAATTTATTAGATTTTTATAGCATCTTACCTCTAAAGAGTTCTAATACTTTATAGAGAGTTCCTAAAAGTGAAAGTTTATAAACATTTCCTAAACATTTATCCTACAATAGCAAGGAAATCATGAAACTGCAGAAACAGTCTAAATAACTGAGATAGGGAAAATGAAGATGAAAGAGGAGAAGTAAAAGTGGTCGGAGTAGGCAGCAGTAAATTTGCATAAAATGTCTTGTGTCTTAAAACCTTCAAAACATTATTTTGAAATCATTTCGTGCTCAGTTGTATTTCTCAGGTATGCTATGACTAGGACTGCAGACAGATCACCAAAGAACTGGACGCCTTTGTTATACACATGTGTTTGCATGGGATTCTGTACGTAACAGTTCTTGCTTGGGGTCATCTTTGCAAAGTCATATCCAGCCATTCTTTGTTACTGGCTTATACTTATATAACATTTATCATGTGTCGGCCACCGTTTTAAACACTTTACAAGCATTACCACATTGAATCCACACAACGTCTTATGAGGTAGACACAAAAATTAGTCTATCTTCATTTCAGAGCTGAGGAAACTGAGGCATAACTACTAAGTAGGAGATCCAAGGTTCAGCCTTCAGGCTGTCTTGATTAGAAGCCATGCTGTTTACCATTACGCTAAGTTGCATTTATATACACTGAAAGGCCAGAAGATATGAATACTGGAAACGACTTCACTCATTTCCCTTCACTCCCTGTTTTGTTTTGTTATTGACTGTGTGGTTTCTTTTTTCTTCTTCATTTAATCTTGAAGTTCTAATAAAAATATATGATTTTACTTATCCTATTTCTTAAAGAAAAAGTCTGATAGCTATTGCTTAACTAGAGACCCTAAAGTAAATTACTGCTAAGTTTAACTAATGTCGACTTATTTGGTTACAATTACTTTTTACTGCATACTTTTGTACTATTGATCTGGAGGATTCTTATAACTCTTAAATATTTCTTTATTATTTACAGCAATTTGCCCTTTAATAAGTAAAATATGACAAGCAAAGGTTTAGATAAATAGTATACTAAGTTTCACTGTCCAAAAGAAAAATTCAACTTTACATACCATGGTGTCTTTTGGGCTGCTATTGAGACAGCCAGGTGGGAGGGTGTCCTCAGAGAAACTCCAGCCAGCCTGCCCACTGAGGTGGGGCCTCAGAAAGTTCAGGACGTTTACAGGGGAAGGAGGCTGGCCTCTCCGCTTCCTGCGTGGAACCTGGCATTCCAATGGCCGCCGGGAAGCGCTCTAGCAGGGACTCTGACCTAGCGAGGGTTCCTGTTTCCCCCTTTTCTATCTTTTCACCTAATAAAACCCTATCTCACTCACCATTCAAATTGTCAGCAAGCCTGAATTTTCATGGCCATGGGACAAAGAACCGTGTCTTCAGCTGAACTAAGGAAAAGTCCTGTAACATTTTTGGTGCCCAATGTGGGGGCTTGAGAAGTGGTGAGTGAAATGGGGACTCAAAACCTCTCACTGTTGCTTCTACGCCTTTTCAACCTCAGAATCCTGAGGGTGGGGGATACCATGCCTTTTTCTTCCTTTTACAGGACCCACCGGTGAGCAGCAGCTCCCAGCCGCTCCCCACTCCATGACAGAACAGCTCCCAGCCACTCCGCACTCCATGACAGGACTGGGACGCATGGTCCACGGGTTTGGGAGCCACTGGCAGTCCCCGCCACGTGCTGCTGCTGGAGCCCTCCCCAGCCCAGGGGTTTTACTCCCTAGGACAGTAATTGAATTAATCTCCGTGGTGGAAGAACCACTTGCCTAAGAATAAGAGGTTCTTCCCCAGGCATTTTTAAACTTTTTTTTTTTTTCCTCTTCTCCACCCCATCAGCAGTTAAGTTTTAAGCAAGTTTTTTTTTTTTTTTAAGAAGACATTTTACTAGGCCAGGCTCCCCAACTATCACTGTTGATAATTTCTTTAAAGCTTTAATTGTGAAAAAGGGTTTGTGAGGCTAGTCTTGGGCTGTGGCCAATCTGGTGTGCTTTGCATGTCTGTATGGTTAGTGCTGCAAGCCTCCATCTTGTTTTACATCTTGCGGGTATGGCTGTAACCCCTTGGCAACGCTTTGCTTAGCAGTCCTGACTTACGGAATAAGCTTCTTTCTGGTTTGATACCTGCATGTTTTCCCAGCCCTGTCTCTTAAAGGGCCCCACCCAGCAACTGGGTTTTCTTCTGCCTGTGTGTGTACTGTGTGATGTGTGTCAAAAGAGCTCTAATTAGGCCAGGCGCAGTGGCTCATGCCTGTAATCCCAGCACTTTGGGAGGCCCAGGTGGGCAGATCACGAGGTCAGGAGTTCAAGACCAGCCTGACCAACATGGTGAAACCCTGTCTCTAATAAAAATACAAAAATTAGCCAGGCGTGGTGGTACATGCCTGTAATCCCAGCTACTCAGGAGGCTGAGGCAGAAATGCATGAACCCGGGAGGCAGAGGTTGCAGTGAGCCGAGATCACGCCACTGCTGCACTCCAGCCTGGGACAGAGCGAGACTCTGTCCTCCCCGCCCCCACCAAAAAAAACCTCTAATTAATTTGGCCTGAAGAAAAAAGCTGTGGAACCTTTCAGTTCACGTGACTTTAACCTTAATAAATAAAAACAGCCCTAAAGACTATTGGTAACATGCAACATGCGGGTCAGAAGCAAGGTTTGCCAGGTGTTTTGAGGTTACAAACTGCTTTTTGGGTTTTGAGAACTATTTGACATGCTGGCTTTAGATTTGATATGGCCTGGGGACATATGGAACTAACTACCCCGCAACTAAGAAGCCATACCTTGGCTGCAGTTAGCACACAATTAAAGCAACTTACCAAGTTTTACCTTGAAGTTCAAAATTGCTAGGAGTTAATTGAAACTACTAGAAATATATTTACACGCAAGGTGTATGAGAACAGTAAAATGTGTTTTTTAATCAAAGGTTATAAGAAGGTATGGAAATGTAACCTTTTGCTTAGGGTTAAAGTATTTTGAGTTAGGAAAAAGCTGAAGTTGCAAAGAAGTGGTGGAGGAATTGTGGAAATTAATCTTGCAGAAGAGCTTCTCCGTGTGAACATATCGACTATATTCAAAAAGGGTGTCATATGGTTTTTCTGTAAATTGAGCACTGAAATAAAATCATAACAAGGTTTTCCCAAGGTGTGAATCTTCTTTTTGGCAAAATTTTTAAAGGGTTGTAAAAGGATTTTGCTTCTTCAACATTTCTGAGTTATCATTTTGGCAAAATAAATAATTTATGGAAATCTGGATTCTATTTCATAATATCGAGTGTTTTAAACCTCGAACATTTAATAGCCTTCCCAAAATCAAACTCCAGTTTCAAAATTGTCTTCCCTGGCACCTGGCTTTTTGAATTCTTCAAAGGGCCCGTGGAATTTCCAGAAAAGAAAGGTAAACAGGATTATTTGACATGTTCAGGTACATGGGATTGCCAAAATGATGCTCAATCCTTTTTTTTTTCTTTTTTTTTTTTTTCTTTTTTTGAGACGGAGTCTCGCTCTGTCGCCCAGGCTGGAGTGCAGTGGCAAGATCTCAGCTCACTGCAAGCTCTGCCTCCCGGGTTCACACCATTCTCCTGCCTCAGCCTCCTGGGTAGCTGGGACTACAGGCGCCCACCACCATGCCCAGCTAGTTTTTTCTATTTTTTAGTAGAGATGGGGTTTCACCGTGTTAGCCAGGATGGTCTCCATCTCCTGACCTCATGATCCGCCCGCCTTGGCCTCCCAAAGTGCTGGGATTACAGGTGTGAGCCACCACGCCTGGCCGATGCACAACCTTCTTTAGGTTTTATCTTGGTGAATAATGCTAATATATATTGCAAACTTATATGGGATTTCTAAAAATTCTAATGTCTGAGTATATGCTATCAATCATAATTAAGGTTTATGTTAAGATATTGTAAACAACAGAGATAACCAAACTTATTTGTCAATTGTGTTTCTAACTGCAACTACCCTGCACATTTTGCTATTCACAGACAATTGTTGTCTTGTTTTAATCCTCTTCAAGGGTGGTTTATAATGAGTTATAGAACATTAACAGGTGCTCTCAAATACAGCCTTCTGATAACTTTAGAGATTGTAACATTGGAATAAAGGAAAATGTACAGGATTCACAAAGAGCTGAAATGTTCATGAATATCAAGCAAAACTCGAGTTAACTAAATGGACTGAACTCAGGAAGCTGAAGCGAATCTTTTTGACTTTTGTTTAGAAAATTGCTGATTCTTGTTTTGTTTTTTTTTCAGAGTCAAGGAAACTTATTTTTTAACTATTTATGACCTTTAATAATTGAGTAAGGTATACCCCCGTGATCAAAATTTGGAGTATGTTTGTTTCTCTCTGCCTGGTTCCTCTAAAATTTGGAAACTATCTGTGAGTATCCTCGTGGCAATAAGGCTATTTGCATCAGTGCAATAAGAATCCATTTTTCTTTTGCAACAGAACACAATTGGAGAAAGTGATTATTTTACCAAGGCTTTGACTGGATAGGTATGCTTCCCTTTAAGGTGTCAATCTAGACTTGCAGAGCCGAGAAAAGCCTCATGGAGGAAACTGGCCTCACGTCCTCATCTACGTAGTCCCTGTACAGGGTTCTTGACCTGTGGTCAGTAAAGACTGTCACTTTCTAACAGGTCTAGGAGCTCCAAGTTCATCTTGGGACTTAAGAGGAGAGAATTACCCAACTCAGGTGTTTGAGGATGCAAACCCATGGTTGTGCTCAGCTTTAAAAGGTCTTAGCTGAGATTCCTTGTGGAACAGACTTCCATCAAAGCCAAACCAAAAGGCCTCTGCAGAAATAATTATTCTTTCTGCGCTTTATGCAAATAAACAGACCAAGTGTAAGACTAAAGGCTATTTTGCAAACCACTCAGTCCTTTTTATAATTTGGGATGTTTAAAAAAAAATACGGTCTAGAGAGAGGCAAATTATATTTCAAACTTATATATTTGTCATTAAATTCTAAACTCACTAGTTGTCTTAAGTTTTTGCCTATATTTTAGGCTAACCCTGCTTGTTCCTGTGAACCAACCAGCAACCTCTGGCTGTAGATCAGAAAGAACACGAGGGATGGGTAATGTACAAATCCTGATCAATATTCTAGTTCTGACCAATGATCCTGCAAATCCTGCCAGGTCATGGGAATAAATAGGGTGCCCATCACTTGGCGGTTTCTTTTTGGGAAAGTAAGACCAAGGGAGCTAACCAAAGCCAAGCACAATAACACCCAAATCTTTGCAGCATAACTATAGCCACCAGCTATCTGGGTATGTCACAAGACATCCTTTCCTCTCTCTTGTTGGAGGAGGACTCAATTTCACAATTTCACCTTAGCATTTGGCTTATGTTAAGGAATCCATGCGACACCCCCACCTCCCAAGATACATTTTTGTCCAAGCCTCAATTCCAAGCTTCAGGTCAGAGCCCTAGGAAGGAAAACTGGGTCTAAGGGATTCAGAGGCAGATGACAACAGAGCTTAAAAGGCACAGCGCAGGTGAGCGTGGCTGATTCCTGACGATTAAGCCAACCCCAGGCTTCCTGTTTCATGGGTAAAGACCAAATTACTGTCCATGGCATAAACGAGGTCTAGGAACGCAGAGGCTACTGACGGTAGGAAAGAGATATAGGTGAGAGCAGATAATTCCCTATTCGAGCAGAGAATTCCCTATTCTCTAGCTCCCCCCACAACCCAACCCTTGCTTCATGGGCGTGAGCTGCTTTGGTACTCATGGCAGTACCTGCCAAGGTCGCTGGAACTCGGGGATGCAAGGATGGAAGACGGAGAGAAGACGCTCTTCCCTGTCTCCATCACTTACCCCCGGTATCTGCTAGGAAGAGAAGGGAACCAGGGACACCTGTTCCCCTCTTTCTAGATGGGTAGCCATTCATCTTCAGTCTGTACCCATTTCGAATGCATCCTGAACCCCTGGGACTCCTTTGAAAAGTGCTTTCTTTTTCTTTTCTCCTCCTCTGTCCTTTCTTCAGTTAGGCAATTGTGTCTCCATATGACGGGACCCTCCCCTCAGATGCATCCTCCAAACTGGGAAGAGTTAATTTCCCAAACCTTAAACTAGTTGGTTTAGGATTGGGCTTGGGGGAAGGGAACCCAGAAGCTCAGCATGCTGGCAAAAGGCTGAAGTTTTTTTGTCATTCAGGCTTTTAGCCTCCCACTCCTGTGTAAACTGGTAAAAGGCCTGGGAATTTATGAGCTGTCTTTACCCCTTGCCTTGTTTTGTTTTGATACATGTTTTCTAATAATCTGGTTTGTCTGTCTTTGCCTTCAGGCCATCAAACTCTAGTCATGCAACCATAGCCTCTAACAATGGCCCCTGCTGGGAACCCTTAAATAGGCCTCTAAGGAAGCTCTGACTGCCGCTTCCCCCAAAACAGCGCCCCCTGTCAGCAAGAAGCAGTTAAGATTGGTCTTCGCCCTTATCCCTAATCTAAGGGCAGTTAGATGTACTTCTTTAAAGGGGGAAATGAGACAGCCAGGGAGGAGGGTGTCCTCAGAGAAACTCCAACAGCCTGCCCACTGAGGTGGGGACTTGGAAAGTTCAGGACGTTTGCAGGGGGAGGAGCCTGCCTCTTCCTGTGTGGAATCAGGGATTCCAATAGCGGGTAGGAAACTCTCTAGCAGGGACTCCAGTCAAACGAGAGTCACTGTTTTCCCCTTTTCTTCCTTTTCACCCAATAGAACACTGTCTCACTCACCTTTCAAATTATCTGTGAGCCTGAATTTTCATGGGGTGGAACAAAGAACCCTGTCTTTAGCTGACTAAGGAAAAGTCCTGCAACACTGTAACAGAGTACCCTAGACTAGGCGGCTAATAAACAACAACCATTTATTTCTTAGAATCCTGGAGACTTGAAGTCTGGGATCAGCTTTTCTTGAGGGCTTTCTTTCCAGGTTGCACACTGCTCATTTCCTGTATCTTCACATGGTGAAAAGATGGCAAGGAAGCTCTCCACAATTCCTTTTAGAAAGGTACAAATCCCATCCATAAGGGCTCCATCTCCCAATACCACAAACTAGGGGCTTCTATTTCAATGTTTCCATTCTGGGGGGATGCAAACTCTCAGTCCACTGCACATGGTTTACCATACCTAGGATTTAAGTATCTTAGTTGGCATTAACCTAGAAAAGAGTGAACTACGTAATTTCATCATAGATATTTGTTTCCAGTCGAAAATACTGCAGCCAAGTATTTAAATCTTTGTGGCCAGGAAAAAGGACATCTAAATGACACACTTCAGTTTGGATAACTGAGTGGTTTATCATTCAAAGAACGTTTTAAATGGCAATTGAAAAACTTTCTGTCAATATGATAGATGATCAGTAATTAAATTTTTTTCCATGTGCAGACTGAAGTTATTTTGTCATAAATAATATTATATACCTGCTCTCTGACACACCTTGTCTGTGCCTGCCTGAGATCTAAAGTTTCCTGGCCACCTTGACTTTCATACATGACTTGTCTCTTCCTGCTCAAGGACACATTTGATCTACAGCTTCAATTTCATTTATTCAGTTGGTCACTTACACAACAAACCTCACTGAGCACTTCCTCTTCCCCAAAGATATAAAAAAAAAAGGAAAAAGCACAATTTCCCAGCCTTGAATAAATCACATCTAATAGAAAAATGGATAAATGGACAACTTTCCACCCCTGCTTAGAGACCAGCTTTCCACCTCTCAGAGACCATTCTGTGACCATAACTAAAATTCTTTCTCAGTGCCCCAACTCTAAAGTGCTTTCTTCTTCAACAGACTGGGGAATTTGAAAACCCACTTTAAATGAAAGAGTCCACCAGATCATGTGTCCCTGGAATCCAGGTGACTGGGTTTTGTTTTGTTTTTTTAAACTTTCTATGCACGCTCTTTCAAAAGCAAATAGAAAAGTGTTTTATGCAGAATAGTCGATGTATTTGAACTATGCAGTGTTTTAGTATCTTTGTATATAGTCTTACAAGGGATCCATATTACATTTCTGAGCTCCCTATAGGAATAAAAAACATCAACTAGACTTTTGATATGGACTATATAAAATGAATGAAGAAGTAAGAAATTGTGAAACATCTATGATTCGTTTAATGCAACAAAAGAGGCACAGTTGTGTAATCCAGTGAAATGTTTTGAATAAATAAAAATTACAAAATTTAGATGATTTGGTAGCTGTGTGTATTCTAACATTCTAAGTATTAAATTGATTATTCAGATAATATTTAGACTAACAAACAAATTATGAGGCTATCTGCAATATAAATAATGAAGAACAATAATTTAAAACAACAGAAACAATTTTACCTAGACAAAAGATAACAAGAAAGACTTAAATGCTTCCTGTTGGAGCTGACTTTCTAGACATAGATATAATCTGCTACCTACTCTTAATTGAAAAAAGATAAAGTAGTCTTTGAGTTAGTTCATTTTCCTGAATTATAATCATCATCGAAGTATATTTTAAAAGCTTAAAGTTGAAAGAGATTGTGCAGGGTAAAAGAATCCAGTCCCAATTCCCAGCAGAGTTACTCAACCCTAGAAAAAAGTGTCTCATGCTTGAGTAGCTGGAAACAGATCTAGAAACATAAATACCCTTTTCCATATAAAGTGTTTTATTGCATTTTATTTAATTTTATCAGGCACAGGAAATAATATGTTGCTCCCTGTGCAATGATGGAAGCACCCACTGAAAGGACACCAGCCCTTCAGAGTCCCTGTGCTCTGAAAATCACTCAAAGTCTAAAAGCTACTTCTCTTTTTAGCTGGAGATCCAACTGGGTATTATGTAGAAATTCAATTAAGTTCAGATTTCTCTGCAGCCATAAAGTTTATTCCTATGAATTAGAAGTTCTTCTGATTTCACTTTGGATAATTTTTGCCTCTTAATCTTATTAGCATGTGAGCCCTTGATCCTCTTCCTTTTTGAATAAAGTGGATATCAAGCCTGTTGTAGATGATTTGCATGCAATCTCAGATGTGGTATGTGTCGAATAGTACATCTCGGTCTCACCTGTAGGGACACCTAGTAAAACCTTCTCTCAATTCCATCTAAAATCATGAGCAACTGCATATTCATTGCCAAACGAGCTGTCTTCACCTAAATGGCTTGTAACCTATATTCAGAGGTCACTGACAGCCAAGTCAATTGAACAGAGTGCCTTCTCACTCCATTGAAAGGTAACAGGAGCCCTTGATCCCTTCAACATTATTTGTGCCAGCAAAGAGAACTAATAACTTGAAAACAGAGATTTCTATGTGAAAAATGCCAATTTCTACACAAAACAAATAACAAAAGCCCGTTAAGCAAAATAGAACTATTCAACATTATATTTTACTTAGTTTAAAGGAAAAAAATGCCTTTTATACTCTGTTTTTTTTTTTTTTTTTTTTTTTTTGAGACGGAGTTTCGCTCTGTCGCCCAGGCTGGAGCGCAGTGGCGCGATCTCGACTCACTGCAAGCTCCGCCTCCCGGGTTCACGCCATTCTCCTGCCTCAGCCTCCCGAGTAGCTGGGACTACAGGCGCGCGCCACCATGCCCGGCTAATTTTTGTATTTTTAGTAGAGACGGGGTTTCACCGTGTCAGCCAGGATGGTCTCGATCTCCTGACCTCGTGATCTGCCCGTCTCGGCCTCCCAAAGTGCTGGGTCTATTTTTTATAAAATAGAAATCAAATGTTTTATGTAATGACTAGTGAAAAAGAAAACACCCACTAGAGAGTAGGAGTCAGGAAACTAAGCAAACCATTTAACCATTCTAAGTCTCAGAATATTTATAAAAAATTAAAATCTAAAGTTTTTCCTTCAATTTACATGGTCAACTTCATTTGTATTAACGAAATACCAAAGAAACTCTTGTCAAATATCAAAAGGAGTGACTTCCTAACCAATACACTTGGTCTTGGAGTCTATTAAAAAATCTTCCTGGGATAGAATTTTACCTTTATCAACATGCGTAGAAACATTTTCATAATGCGCTTTACTGCTTCAGACATTTGGCAAAAGTAGATACTTTAAAAAATTATGCAATACCACAAACAAGATTTTACCTGAATTCTTCATAGCAATATATAAATGGGTTGTTCTATTGATGTATAAAGATGTATATACAAAGAGGAAAATAAAAACTTAATATGGAAAACGTATTAATACTAGTTAAATCCAAAGAAGTCATTACGAGATTTCATTTTAAATTGACTATTCTGAACTTTTTTGGATAACAATGTTGTGATAATTCACTAATTATAACATTCAAACATATAAGTCCTCGACTTTTAAATTCTCACTGTAGTCTAAGGGGTTGTGTGCAGACTTAAGAAAAAGGCAGTAAATCCAGTATTGAAAAGCCCAGGCTTGCCACTGTAAGCCTGACTTACTATTTGTGTGACCTTTAGCAATTTTTTAAAATGTATTGTAATAAAAAACATATAACATGGAATTTACCATCTTAGCCATTTTAAAGTGTACAGTAGAGTAATTTTAAAAATATTCACATTATTGTGAAACAGATCTCCAGGAATTTTTCATCGTGCAATTTTGAAACACTGTACCCACTGGAGCAACGTTTAACTTATTTAAGTCTCAGTTTTCTCATCTATAAAAATGGATGATGATAGCACCATTTATGACTAAATGAGACAGTTTCTATAAAGCCTATAACATAATACCTGGCACATATCTAGGGCTCACTGAATGTAGAGAATTATTACATGAGTGTCTTTAATTGCATATTAAATGGAGGAGTGCCTTGTATATTATAATATGTAGTATGATTTCACAAAATATGTGTAAATTAAAGCTTTTAAGATGCATTTTTAAAAGCTCATTTTATGTGGTATTCTTGAAGATTCATTTTAAAATGATTCTTGGTAAGACACAGAACATTCCCTAATGTCTATGTCTTGTAAAGTTGGAATGGTCATCAGGCAGTTTTTAATTGGCATTTTCTCAGACTCAAGTTCTTCGTTAGCAGATTCATTCATTTATTTAGAGACACCACCCAGGCTGAAATGCAGTGGTGTGATCATGGCTCACTGCAGCTTTGACCTCTAGGGCTCAAGTGATCCTCCTGCCTCAGTTGGGAGCATAGGCATGCACCACCACACCTGGCTAATTTTTTTATTTTTAATAGAGGCAAAGTCTCACTACATTACTGGTCGCAAACTCCTGGGCTCAAGCAATCCTTCCACTTCAGCCTCCCAACGTACTGGGATTACAGGTGTGAGCCACTGCACCCGTTATACTTTATTTAAACATTCTTTTTAGTGTGCACTTCAGTTAAGGGCCGTCATTGATCATGCTGCATATTATACCAACAGATCTATTTTAATGGATGTTAATAGTTCAAAACATCATGGGAATGCCTTCACAGTCACAAGTGAGTAAAACATTGTCCTAATCCTCAAGGATTTAAATAGGACTAGCGAAACTCACCAGCAACTAAACTGTTACATCATGTAGGGTAGGTGATGTAAAAGATCAAATAGTTTTTTCATTGTGTAAATATATTACAGCTTATGTACCAATTATTCTGTCAATTGACTTCAGTGTTTGGGTTGTTTCCATGTTTTTGCTGTTGCAAACAGAGCTGCTAAAAACATTGTATATAACCCCAGAGGCAAAACAAAGATAAAACAGAACCCCAGAACTTGCTTCATTATTGATCTTTTATTGACAGAGAGCAAAAAAACTAAGCAGCTGTGGTAAGCTTGACGAAAATACAAAAGTATACTTTATGTAATATAAATATACCTATAAAAACAAAGACACATAAGAATTTCTCTCAGAATTTTTGAGTTGAAGTCAATGTTTAACTTTACAAGATGGTATCAAATTATTTTCCCAAGCGATTGTACCATTTTACAACCCTTCCCTAACATTAATAGTGTATAAACGATCCAATTTATCCACATGCCTTCCAACACTCGGTTCAGACAGAATTCTTAATTGTTGCCAGTGTAATAGTATGGAACTGTATCTCATCACAATCTCCATGTGCATTTCCTTGACTAGCGACTTATTACTTTTTTAAACATTAAAATTATTGGCTATTACTAAAAACATAACACATGCTGGTAAGGTTGTGGAGTCAAAGTAATGCTTACACACTGTTGGGAGGAGTGTAAATTAATTCAACTGTCATGGAAAACAGTGTGGCGATTCCTCAAATACCTAAAATCAGGGAAGGGAGAGCATTAGGACAAACACCTAATGCACGTGGGGCTTAAAACCTAGATGACAACTTGACAGGTGCAGCAAACCACCATACCACATGTATACCAATGTAACAAACCTGCACATTCTGCACGTGTATCCCAGAACTTAAAGTAAACTAAAAATTAAAAATAAATTTAAAAAGGAAGAAAGAAATTCCACTTGACCGAGCAATCCTATTACTGGGCATAAACACAAAGGAATGTAAATCATTCTATTGTAAAGACACATGCATGCTTGTGTTCACTGCAGCACTATTCACAATAGCAAAAACATGGAATCAACCCAAAAGCCCATCAATGACAGACTGGATAAAGAAAATGTGATACCTGTACGCCATAGATTACTATGCAGCCATAAAAAAAAAAGAATAAGATCATGTCCTTTGCAGGGACATGGATGGAGCTGGAGGCCATTATCCGTACCAAGCTAACACAGGAATAGAAAATCAGATACTGGATGATCTCACTTATAAGTGGGAGCTAAATGATGAGAACACATAGACACATAGAGTGGAGCTACACACACTGGGGCCTGTTGGAGGATGGAGGGTAGGAGGAAGGAGAGCATCAGGAACAGCAACTAATGAATACAAGGCTTAATACCTGGATGTTGAAATAATCTGTATAACAAACCCCCGTGACACACATTTACTCATGTAACAAACCTGCACATCCTGCACATGTACCCCTAAACCTAAACATAAACATAAAATAAAAATTGAAATTCTGGAACTTCTAAAAAAAATTTAGATGCAACTTCAAGATATAGATAGTCAATTAAATAAAGGTTGAAACACAGGCAGAATTTAGGTAAATGGGGAAAGAAAATGACTTCTAGGAGAGGAAGATTGCAAAACCAAAGGAAAAGAGTTAACAAGGAGAAGACTCATGTTAGGAACAGAAAGCAGTCAAGATTGCTAGGAAGATGGGCTAAATTCAGGGTAAAAATGGAAACGTTGTTTGCAGCTTTCAGACAGCATTAAACACCAGGATGAAGAGTTTATACTTACTGTATTATACTACTTATATAAACCTGAAAGCAATTTAAGTGAAAAAATGGAAGAAATTCTCAAAGTGTTAAGTTTAACATTTTCAAAATACCCACATTATAAGTAATATTTGCATTATCTAATTAGGTGACAGTTCTTACACACCAAACTCAAAGCTCAGTTAAATAGGTTTGGTCATTTAAAGCTGAGAGGCTTTAATCTTACTCACCTTCTAGTCTGTACCATGAAAGTTACTGTCTAGGGAAGTGTTAACGGAATCCTCAGTCATGGGTTATCTGTTCCTTTAGCCATAGGATTTTATTATATTTCTTTTTTTAATGAACATGTTACATGTTATGTTTTCAATTTTAGAAACAATTTCTCATTCAATAGAAGATAGTGCATGTCTATAAATACTTGGCATTTGACGGCAAATAGTCTAATTGAAAGGTTTTAAAGACTTTCTATGTTTAGAAAGCATAATACTGTATGTGAATATACCAAGCGGTTTTCCAAAAATTAACTTTTAAACATATCAGCTTTATGCTTAAAGAGCCATGGAAATTTGAAAGTAATATTTCATAGAAGAATTATTTTATGATCAAACTCACCTTACTGAACAATTTAAATCCAATAATTGAAAATATATACTTAGAAAAATTAACAAATACAGAACAGTTTTCTCCTAATAATTTCCTCAGATAGTCAAACCTTATCAAAAGAAACTATATGTTGGCCGGACACAGTGGCTCACGCCTGTAATCCCAGCACTTTGGGAGGCCGAGGTGGGCGGATCACAAGGTCAGGAGATCGAGACCATCCTGGCTAACAGGGTGAAACCCCATCTCTACTAAAAACACACAAAATTAGCCAGGCGTGGTGGCAGGCGCCTGTAGTCCCAGCTACTCAGGAGGCTGAGGCAGGACAATGGCGTGAACCCAGGAGGCAGAGCTTGCAGTGAGTAGAGATCACGCCACTGCACTCCAGCCTGGGCAACAGAGCGAGACTTTGTTTCAAAAAAAAGAAAAAGAAAAAGAAAGAAAGACACTATATGAAAACTATATGTTAACACTTTTTTAATGTGTGAGCATTATTCTAGGGAAGAAATTGTAGATAATTTATTTTCCTTTCCAGGGAGAGCAAATTCAAAGTTCTTGAAAAACATTAAATAAAATATCAGCCATAGTTGAAATCAAATGAAAAGACAGAATAGCGAACATGCCTCCAGAATCAAGAGAACACAATATGACAAATAAAGGGCATTTAGATGTTCCTCAGATGGTCGAAATTATGCCAAGAGACAGTAGGCAGTGGAACGTCCCACCTACAGCAGCTGATGGATAACGAAAGAGGAAACCAGGCAGCTGGTGGGCTAAAATATGTTGTAAAATAAGGAGCTGAGGCCTTACCTCAATGGATATGGCATGGCCAAGTATTCAGCAATTTTCCAGAATTAGTGCTATTCTATCTGTAAATGTTGACAACATCAACTATTTGATTTTAAAGATTATACATTTAATCTTACAATGGGAGGCATTGTAAATGATCATTTTTTAAAAAGAAAGAAAATAGAAGAAATTTGCAAAATGTTGATAGGCCCATAGACTGATTCATTGATAAAAAGGAACTGATGGAACAGTAAGGTCAATATTCAAAGCAAGATAAAGATCTAAAATGTATAATGGGCAATCTGTAGTGATCTAAATTTAAGTTAAGGTCTAACAGAATGTATCACTTTGTTTTATGGCTTAAAATGAGATGAGGCATCTTCACTTGTAAGCAATCAGCCTGTCTTGGTTATTCTCTGAGACACCCTGAACCAGTATACGTGGACCTTTCATGGGCGCCTCTGTCCAGCTTCCAGTCTAGACACTTGGGGAAGCTATGAACTCCCTACTCCAGCCTAAAGTTCAGCCTCCTGATATACCCAGAACAGCCATTGCCCTGTAGGCCTCACCACTTCCTATAAAGAGAATACAACAGAATAATTTCTATTTACCACTCACCACTTCCTATGACCTCTACCTGTAAGCCCCATGCTTGGGGCCTAGCCTTGCAATTTGCTCCATGTAAACATTCCACTCTGAATTCCCTGCCATTTCCCCAGGACACTGCCTCCTGAGCCTGGAGGAATCACTCTTCCTGCCTTGGAATTTCTCTAAAGCACTTTCCTTCTCAACCGCACCCCTACAACACCCTCCACAACCATTTCTTTTTTTGTTTTTTTCTTTGAGAATTTTTTTTTTACTAATCAATAAAATCCCTTTGATGATAATGCAAGAGCATTACATTTTTCTATAAATTTTGTTTTACCAATCACCTAAATATTACAGCATTTTACAATGTCTAAAAGACATTGTAGCGCAGAGATCTGAGTTCAAAACCAAATTCTCCCATTTAATTTCTCTAAGCCTCAATTACCCCATGTAGCGAATGGGACTCATGTCTATATTAAGAGGACATATTTTCAAATACATAGTAAAATGCTCAGAGCATGGTAATAACACAATAAATTAGATAAGCTGACTTTCTAGAAACTACCTGTGCCCCTTATTCTTTGTTTATTGTATAATAATACATTGTTGCTAACTCAGATGCAATGTTATACAGCAAACCTCTTGAACTTATTCATCTTGCTCAGCTGGAACACTGTACCCATTGATTGCCAGTTCCCCATCTTCCTTTTAACATATTGGAGCTATAATCAAAGACAGAAAAGGCCATGGACTTCAGACAACCTCTGCATTCTATATAATAGCCCAAATCACACAGGGAATAATTACGAAGACTGAGCAAAGTTACGAAGTGCAGGGAAGGAAAAAAACTAGACGAAGGCAAACAAGTTCTCCACAAACTGTATTTTACCCTAGGATATAAAGAAAACTCTATGTCCAATAAATGCTACTTATTTTCAATCAAGAGATAGCATATTGGTTCTAAACATAGTGAAGTCAACTTAGAAAATATGATAAACAATTTTAGATATTGTCTTGGCATTTGGACACATTATGAGACTTTCCTCAAGCTGTTACTCTCATGTAGTAGACTAAAAAACTACGTATTATATCCATGGACATAAAAGTATAAAGAGTTGTTTTGCTGGGAACAAACCTTCAGGAAAAAAGAAATAAGACTAAAATAGTAAATTTTAATAGTCTAGAGATATCAATTAAATAATAATTAACCTGTTTAAGTAAAGATTCTTATTAATTGATGAAGATCAAATAATAAAATAATGAAAGTTAATCTCAGTAGATTTTTCTTCAGATAGAGGGAATGAGGATGGTGTATATGAATAGTGAATTATCTCTTCATTAGACTTCTTTTCCTTAGCTTGTTCTCTTTAGCTGAAAATAACAAAGTTAAAGAAAAAACTGAGAATACAGATTTTGTATTTTCTGGAATTATTTCACAGAACTTTACAGTTTTGACATAAAACTACGTAAGATGTATCATCAACAACCACTGAAAGTAGGCATTAAAGGGTTTTCATGATCTCAAGATGTTCTGATAATTACAAACCAGGAAACCAAAAATAACAAGTAATTTTCGTTGTTTCAGTAATGTGAATAGTTTACAATTCATGCTGGGAAATGCATTATTTCACATTATAAATGGCACAAAGCATGGTACACAGTCATCAGTTTTGGAAATAATTTATGACTGAAAAAGAAAATGAGTACTGTTTTGGTATAACCCTGCAACAACAACAACAAAAAAGGACAGCCTCCTCAAAAAAGTAATTCTGCCAATTTAATCAGAGGAGAATTAACAAGACATTAGGAAATAGAGGCAAAATAAAAACGGGTTTGGAAGGCACGTAACCTGATCATTAGCAGAAGTAAAGGTACTTTTCTCAAACAGAATAACAAAGTAGGAAGAAGATATAAGCTAAACTGTACCACACAACAACCTGCAAGGAACTACTTTGTGTAGGATTATGCCGGCCAGTCATCAAATGTGCCAACTCCCACCTGGCATTGAAATTTAGGTCAAAATGTCCTGTTTAGTAGGCTGACTATTATATGCACATTTTTACTATGTGTTATAAAAAAAATTAAAAGTGATTACAGAAGGTTGCTTTTCTAGATTCCTCTTATCGTTCCTACATCCATGCAAGTCTTTATAGAAATCAAGGAAAACCACCCTAGTCATGATAACAAGGAAAAACTATCACCCTCTCATCCCGCAAAACTAATATCATGATGTCACTACAAACAGGGAAATAATCCACACATGTTCTCCCCAGTTTATCTGAGTGCTTCAAATGTGTAGAAAGTTCTTTTCTACATAGACAGATGAATAAATACTGTCTTTTCCACTGGCTATATAAAAGCCATTGTGTAAAGCTACTGAAGACACTTTAACATGTTGGTATATTGATTTGATAGTCCCTTTACAAAATATTACTTGCCATATTACATATTTTAGGGCTCAGTAACATGTCCTAAAAGGAAGACTTAGTCTGGAAATTATTCTACATCTGCTCTTTTATTGCTTTGTTTTTTTGTAAATGCTCTCTTTGATCAAAAACAATACTCATTCTAATCTACATATGAAGGGGTCACAAATTTAGCACTGATACAAAGAACAAGTTAAAAAAAAAAACAGAGGGAAAGGCTGGGCATGGTGACTCACGCCTGTAATCCCAGCACTTTGGGAGGCCAAGGCAGGCGGATCATGAGGTCAAGAGTTCAAGACCATCCTGGCTAACATGTTGAAATTCCATCTCTATTAAAAATACAAACAAAATTAGCCGGGCATGGTGGTGGGCGCCTGTAGCCCCAGCTACTCAGGAGGCTGAGGCAGGAGAATGGCATGAACCCAGGAGGCAGAGTTTGCAGTGAGCCGAGATCATGCCACTGCACTCCAGCCTGGGCAACAGAGCGAGACTCCATCTCAAAAAAAAAAAAGAGAGGGAAAAAGACAGGATACCAGCACATAAACTGTATTTCATGGCAAACTAGAACAACAAAGGATAAAAAATAGATATGCCCAAATGAAGGTAAATTTACATTCATACACATACAAACTATTGCCATCTTTCAATTAGCAATGTTAATTGATTCCTGAAAATCTTGCCACTCAATAAAAAGCCATTAAAAGAAAAAAGAAATCCAAGAACTTTTAATGAGAAAAAATTACACTGTGTTTTATTTCAATACAAAATGCCCAAACAATTTTTACAGGAAAAATGTTTATTAAATAAAGAAAACAAGTTATGTAAGTGAAAATATTAACTTGAAAATAGTTTTTTATACAAATTAGAATAAAGATTTATTCTTTTTACTTTCTGCACCTCGCTCTTCACCTTTTTTTCTACTTAAGAGTTTATAATTATATTTGAATTATACTTAAGAATAAAGATATACCACAGAAAAAACACCTAAGGGCTAAAGACCAAATATGACAGAGCCTAGATACCCAAATAAAATAGCATGTGTTCCCATGAAATTGAGAAGTCTTTTCAACGTTTGCTTGGCAAACTAAAATGTTTCAGCTCATACAAACAGTGTGAGATACAAATTTGTTCTGTGTGATGATATTCTCTTACTAGAAACTGTAGTGTCAAGCAAATAAGTGCTTGTGTCTTTGCCTCAAACCATTATGTTGAAATATCAGTTCTTCAGATATACTTAATATATATTGCAGTGAACATTTTGATACGCTAAAAAAAAGTCACCTAAAAAGCAGATAACTTTTCGAAAGTCGCTAGGGCAAGAGGTCACTAACTGAACAGTTGTTATGGGAAGTAAGTACCTACATACATTTGTGTTTCTGTCTGTATAATTCATAACTCCATTAGGTGAATAACAGATAAAAATTTATAAGGTGAAGTGTTATATTTAGATTTAGAGGAAAAAATAACATGAGATTATTTGGGGAGGTGAACTTTTCCTACTCTTCTGATACCTTCTTCTAATGCTTTTAATTTTCAACTTTCAATTTTTGAACCTGTGTTACATCTTATGCAGTGAGAAAAAGTCCTCAAACGATGGTGGGTAAGCCATAGAATGGTGCACTCATCACTGAGTATCCATTCATAGGACAATCCTTGAAAAAATAGAGGAAACCATTTTATTCATTCCGAAATTCATGGAAGAGTAAATATCTTGAAGTAGACTCCTCTATCTAGCAAAATACATTTTTCATCATCACATAAAACTAAATATGTGTACCTGATATTTCACAAATGTTTTTCCAGATGCCAATAATATCCTTAATTCTTAGGTTAACTGACCAAAAAATACAACAAACCTAGATTATCAAACTATAATTCACTAAAATATAGATTAGCATTATACTAAATATAATGCAGTCATGTGCCCCTTAACAATGGGCATACGTTCCTGAAAAAGCATCATTACCGATTTTTTCATTGTGAAAACAACATAGGGTATACTTAAGCACACACCTAGATAATAGATCCTACTACATACCAAAGAATAAATGGTACAGCCTATTACTCCTAGGCTACAAACATGTTTAGCATGTTACTACACTGAATACCAGAGGCAACTTTAACTAAATGGTAGGTATTTGTGTATCTAAACATAAAAAGGTACAGTAAAAATACAGCATAAAAGATTTTTTTAAGTGGCACACCTGTATAGGACCCTTACCATGAATGGAGCTTGCAAGATTAGAAGTTGCCCTGGGTGAGTCTCAGTGAGTGGTGAGTGAATGTTGAATCCTAGGACATTACTATATACCACCGTAGACTTTATAAACTAACTGTACACTTAAAGTACACAAAATTTATTTTAAAAATTGTTTTATCTTCAAAATAAATCTCAGGTTACTGAAACTTTTTTACTTTATCAAGGTTATAATTTTTTAAACTTTTCGGCTGTTGTAATAACAGCTTAAAACACAAACACATTGTACGGCTATACAAAAATATTTTCTTTCTTTATATCTTTAAGCTTTTAAAATTTTCAATATTAATTTTACCTTTTTAAACTTTTTTGTGAAAAACAAAGACACACACACATTGGCTTAGGCCTACACAGGATCAGGGTTATCAACATCACTGTCATTCATCCCCCGCATCTTGTCCCACTGGAAACCCTTCAGGGGCAGTAACAGGCATGGAGCTGTCATCTCCTAGGATAACAATGCCTTCTTCTGAAATACCTCCTGAAGGACCTGCCTTAGGCTGTTTTACAGTTAACTTTTTTTATAAGTAGAAAGATTACACTCTAAAGTATGCATCAATAGTATAGTAAATACATAAACCAGTAACATAGTCATTTATTATCAAGTATTATATACTGTACATAATTTTCTATGCTAGGCTGTCATACAGCTGGCAACACAGTAGCTTTGTTTACACCAGCATTACTACAAACACATGAGAAATGTATTGTAATACTTCATTTTGATGGCAAGGACATCACCAGATATTAGAATTTTTCAGGTCCATTATAAGTTTATGGTATCACCATGGTATATGTGGTCCATCATTAACCAAAACTTCACTCTATGGCACTTGACTGCATAATACACTGTACCTTTGATAACTCAGAGATGTCATGTGATCTTATATTGTCTCTGCATCATTTTGTGTGTTACTGATTAGAGGGCTTTAATTTAGATGTGAAAGTTTCAGGGGATTGGGTTAAAGCCAAAATGATCCTATGACATATTCTTTATGTTGCCATTTGGGGAAGAAAAATCACTAATATCTTCTTGTTTACTTGCCATCTATGTTACTTATGAAAATATACCGGGATAGCTTTCCCAACTATTTATAATTGCTAGAGATTTTGATTCTAAATAAAAGATAGCTAGCATTACTGGGCATTATGGTAATGCTTAGTTACAACTTATGATCTGTTCTCACAAAATCTCACAGTTCACAAAAATTAACTTTACTAGCTAGCATTTATTACTTCAAAATATTTTAAGGGATCAAGTGTAATTACTACATACTGCACAGAGTAATAAAGGTCTGTGTAAAGCAAAGAGAAGGAAGAATTATTGTAAGAAAGAATGATGTACAAACTACTTAGATACTGAAAGGTAGAGTGGAAAAGCAGTTAACTACTTTTATAGTGCTGAAATAATATATTTTTTATTTATTTTCCGTTTCAACAGCACATTCCAATTACACATTTTCTGTAACTTCTGCAACAATTATGTTTAAAACATTTAATTCTCCTTAATATGCTTGCTCATAAAAATGAATTGTAATTATAAATTCTTCATCATATATACTGTCACTAGTAGAACTTCTGGTAGGAAACCAAAATGTATTTCATAATAATTACCTTATGCTTTTAAAATTTTCAATTATATTTAAAACAAACACGGTGCATGTTAGTTGTAGTTAGGACACGAACATGCAAGTATCATAGAATCAAACTCACACCGATTTGAAAAACTGAAACAGCTGCATCTCTATATCCCCAAAATAGAAAAGGCTGCCTAATTTAAAAAATGCTTCCTTCTGTGGCAAATCTGAGAAGTTGTATCGGGCATGAGTTTCCAGTTACTCTTCACCTCTCATGCATTTTCTCCTTTTTTTTTTCTTTTGTCCTACACCAGGCCTCGGGAGACTGGTCCCGAAGGATTTCATCACCCTAGATCTCTTGCACTCTGGCCTCACTAGGTTCAGGCAACGGGAGTCCCCAGCAGGAAACTGAGAGGTGAGGGAAGAGAGAGCAGGCGATTTCTTCACACACACCCTTCCTGCTTTGGTGTTCCGGAAGCGGAAGCCACGGGTCGAGTCTAAGATTTTAAATATAACCTATAATTATTAAAGTGTCAGGCTTTGGTAATATCGGGTGATGTTGATTCTTCCTTTTACCTGCAGCCTTGTAATGGCTTCCAACTGTTGCTAATCTCTGTATGCCTCAACAAACATTCATCACGCGTTCCCTTTGTATTCACTTTATTAAATTCCCACCAAAATTCTAGATACACATGCTGTCTGTCTCCTGACTGGCAAATGGAGACTGTAACTGGGGAGTCTCTAGGCAATTAGACTGTAAATGCCCTATTACCTCAAGGCTCTCTTCATCTCCCAGGTTGCTTTTTAGCTCCAGATGCAAATATCACCCTGCTACATACAAGGTGGAAAATGGATCTCAAAATTTTGGAGCAGTATCTGTATAATCATCAGGGCAATTTTAATTGGGAACTAGGTAAACCTCACACACTCTCTGAAGCAAAGTTAGGCATTAAAAGATCAAAGTTAGGAGGAAAAAATAGAGGGAAAGCCAGGGCTTGAAGTCTGTCTTCTGCAGGATACTCCTGAAAATTTCCACTGAAGAATTAACAACAGCAGATTTTTACTAAAGAGCCAAAGCTCTGAGGTTTCACTAGAAATGTATGAGAATTAAAAAATGTGTTGGTTTTTAACATAATTAGTTCCACCAAAATAATTGTAAAAGCTGCTGCATCAGAAAAATATACCGTGTTCACCATGAAGTTTTAAGTACTCACTGAGACACTGCAAGATATCTAGTTTGACTTACATGTATGTTCCTACTTGTTTACTCTTTTTCTATATCTACTCACTTGATATATGAGAAATCTATTTATTGCCTCGATATCTTTATATCTGTCTAGTCATGCATGACTTCTTCAAGAAGGGCAAATGAGAAGAAAACAGAAGAGAAACAGGGCTACCATCTTGGACAGCACAGAATACATCCTCTTCGATCACTGCCCCAAGTTCTGTTGGACCACACTGCTTGAGACATCCTGAAGACTACATGAAGGCATAATTACATACTCAGACAGACTACAGAGTTATTTATGATAAGATGAAGTAATCTAAAGCCTCAAGATCTGCAACTTGGTTAATGATCATTTCTGGCTACTATAACTTTGTATGTAAAATGCATGACTTATGAATATTTTAAACACACTGTATTTTTTAGCTTTTCTTTATGTTAAAGCAAAGTCCAAAATAATACTATTTAAGCAGCATACAAGTTAATTTCTCTCGGCTGGGCGCGGTGGCTCACGTCTGTAATCCCAGCACTTTGGGAGGCCGAGGTGGGCAGATCACGAGGTCAGGAGATGAGACCATCCTGGCTAACACGGTGAAACCCCGTCTTTACTAAAAATAAAAAAAATAAATAAATAAAAAATAAATAAAAAAATAAAAAAAAAACTTAGCCGGGCATGGCGGAGGGCGCCTGTAGTCCCAGCTACTCGGGAGGCTGAGCCAGGAGAATGGCATGAACCCGGGAGGCGGAGCTTGCAGTGAGCAGAGATCGTGCCACTGCACTCCAGCCTGGGCAACAGAGGGAAGATTCCGTACCAAAAAAAAAAAAAAAAAAAAAAAAAAAAAAAAAAAAAAGTTAATTTCTCTCGCATGTAGTAGTCCAAAGAGAAATAGTCTCCAAATATAACGCTGATATAAATACTGGCTCCAGTCGGGTATTAAGTACTTTTCCTTAAACCAGACTTCCACTCATGATCTACTCATAAATGTAAAAACTGTAATCAGTATTTTGCTTACCCAAAATGAAAGGAAGGTAGAATTTTTCAAAGAATGGTGAACACAGTCCTTTCTAAACAAAGATCATCAGCATATATAAAGCATTACCCTTGGAGCTTTGAAATAATATCTATTTGTTGATTCCCATATCATAATTTATCTTCAAAAGATGGCATTAAAATTGCACTCTAACTATGAAACATTCTGTACTTCACAAAGTTGCAGAAGGTGAGCAATCAATAAGTATTTATTGAGTGCATGAAGGGGTGTTTTACTTAATTTGAAAACTAGCTGATTTCAATCAGAAATAACAATTATATAAGACTTTCGCCTATAATTAGTGAGACAAAGAAGTCTACAACATTGATTTTGCCCAAAGTATTAACTGTGAACGCTTGTTTTTCAGCTAGTGGGTTTTTAAGCATTTAAGCAGATCTTATTGGCTTTATTGACTAGTATTCAACAGCAATGCCTCTGAATGCGTTTTTATATGAGATAATCACTTTTTTCATGATATAATGTCAGTTGAGAGGAGACCTTTCTATTTGTTATAGTAGAAATCACCCTAACTCATATAAAGCATTACGTCCAATGATTTCCAGAAAGTCGCATAAATCAGCCAACAAGAAGTTTTAAATTAACTTTAAAGAAGAAGGCAATTTTGTTTATTTAGCTCTACTAGCTGATTCTTGAATTAAGCCCAAGTATTCTTCATTATTTATTTAAGTAAATAAAGCCACTTATGGTAATTGTACAATATTTCCTTTCAGCTCTATTCTCCCAACATTATATTCCAAATCAACTCCATATTTATATTTAAGGCAATGCTTCTAACACAAAATGGTTATATAATTCAAACGAAGAAACTCATGAATTTGCTTTAAGAATTGGTGCTTTTCCATCTTATTTCCCACAAATTAGAATACATGTGCATGTAATGTGCATTTTACAAGAGGAGAGACATTTTTTAGAACAGGATAGTTTTAGAAAAGGAGAAAATAATCTCCAGACAAATGGTTATAATACGAAATTAAATTTGATGTGATTTTAGGATATCTCATTTTTAGTAAAGTTTATCTCTTTTACTGCATGAGTTAATTTATTGTAAATAGTATTTATGACAGTGCTTCATAGTGAGGAAATAGACTCAAAATCACATAAAGAACTTTTTATTATAATAATAACTTTTAGGCACATTTCTCCTTCTCACTAGCTTTGTCCCCACAAAATCAAAACCCATAACTTATTAACTTAAAAAATTATTTCTATTTCTAAATATCAAGATAACTATAGCCATAAGGTTTTTTAAAAAATAAGCTCTTCGTGAGTTTGATTATGGACTATTATAAAGGATTTTTTTTCCAATTCAAGTGCTTTCTCCAAATGTAGCATTTAAATTCCAAGTAAACTATGTGAATTTATTTTATAAAACAAAAATAAACTCACCAAATACTATTTATGAAAATGATTAAGGAATAGGAGAAAACTTATCTGTTGCTGTGGGTGAGTAGGGGGGTGTATGATATCCGTATTTGTGTATGATACAATAATTACATTTTATTGAAACATATATGTAACAACTTACACATTATTCTTTTTATGGACACATATATTAATGTATGCTCGTTTAATTTTAACCATGTCTACATAATAATCTCCATTTTGCAATGGATTCAAATACTCTTTAGATAATCTGACTGCAGCATACCACTCCAAACATCATAGTTCATTCATTGGAGTATTGTATCAAGTGGGATTTCTACAAGTCAAATAAAATAAATGCAAAGAATGGACACAAGAAAAATTAGTGTGATCAGCAGATTACATATCCTCTTTTGCAATCCTATGAGTTTATAAACTGAATTAGCTCCTAGAACATCTGTTACTTGAGGAATTGTCCTGTATAGACATATTGTCAACTATATTTTAAAGTATCTCTCTGTTAATCTATAGATCTACATTAGCTGAAGATGCAGATATAGAATAAGCAGATGCTAGTGTAAGAAATCAGTTTCACTGGGGACAATTTTTGTCTTTGTCTTTCCAGTTGGTAGTCATGAAATGTGTTGAGATTGTTTCATTTTGTTTTCACTCATTGACATGATTCATTTAACATTTCCTACAAAGAATCTCTCTAAATACTAAAAACATTTACCAAGTAAAATTCCTGTTGTGCTTGTTTTAAAAAACGGATAAGGATCATTTGTACTTAGCAGAATTTATTTGCATAGAAATAATTACTGTTTTAAAGTTTTTCAATCTGCCATTTTCACAGGAAAAATAATAAATACACATGCTGCAATTATATTTGCATTATTATTTGCTTCCTTTAAGACATCCATTGTCATATTGTATCAGGAGATGTTGATTTGAGAATAAGAAAGAAAGGAAGGGAAGAGGAAGGAAAGGCAGAGAGGAAGGGAATCTGGAAAAGAGTGTGGGAGGAAAAAAAGAAGAAAGAAGCTACAAAATAATATGATAAAATCTCCCCTTTTTTGCAATAGCTCCACTTTGACATTCATCCTCCATTCACTCATTCATTAAATATCAAAAAAAATAGATATGCTCACAGAGATGGAAGAAACCATAAAACTATTAAAAGCTTGGTACACAGTAGGCAATCCACAAATATTTGTGTTTTTTAAGAGATTCAGGAAGATGGCCATACTTTCACTATAACGGTTTTGCTTTGATATAGATCAATCTGCATTTCCTTCAGTTTAGCAGTAATAATTTTATATGATGGATGTTCCAGGTCACATTTTAAGAGTAAACAAATTTGGAAGGTCAATTTTGTCAGAAAGTAAAGAGAACTAAGAGCAAAGAGTTTGACCAAGGTCTACACAATGACCTGTATTTATTTATTAGGTTAATATATGTTTATTGTACAAAAGCAAACATACGTTTTCTCTAGAGGAATCATGACCTCCTGAAAGAATTTTTTTGAAACACCTCCTCCAAATGGTCATTTTCACTTTTTGTAAAGAAAGCTTTCCCTCCAAAAGCTTGCCTGGTACCCAAATCAAGAGAGCCAAACAACAGTCTTAACATACATTTCTCATCACGCTCAAGGGACTCTTTGTGTACAGTTAGCATTTCAAAATACTTCATGAGGACCTTGAAGCATTTTTTTTTTTGAGATAGAGTCTTGCTCTATTGCCCAGGCTAGAGCGCAATGGCACAATCTCAGAGCCCAGCTCACTGGAACCTCTGCCTCCTACCTGAGCCTCCCAAGTAGCTGGGATTACAGGTGCGTGCTAGCATGCCCAGCTAATTTTTTTGTATTTTTAGTAGAGAAGGGGTTTTACCATGTTGCCCAGGCTGGTGTTGAACTCCTGACCTCAGGCAATCTGACTGCCTTCGTTTCCCAAAGTTCTGGGATTACAGGCATGAGCCACCACGCCCAGCCCTTGAAGCATTTTTCCAAGTAAGACTTCCTGCCATATTCAGAATTTTGTTTATTTCAATTTCTTCTTGTCTTGTCATTGATTTCCTTTGTTCCACAGTCTAAAAGCCTCACCTTGGTATTTCAGACCCATAATAACCTAGCTTCAACACATTATCTACCATTCTTTCTTGTCACTCTCCACCAAACCTCCTGTGTTATAGCCTACCTGATTTTCTCACCCAATTCTGCATATGCCAGGCACCTTCACAAACCCATGGTTTGATGTCTGCTTTACCTGAAATTCTCCTCTGTACACTCAAACCCTACTCTCACCACCATAACACCAACGGCAAAATCCTTGGCTCATTTAATTTTATATCCCTTATGGTAAAGCTTGTTATACCTTTAAGTAACCCTGATATCAGAGTGCCATCATCTGCGTAGAACAACCTATGTATATTATTTGTAAACAAATCAGGAAAGATGAAATGAAAGGATAATTCATTTCATTCATTCATTCATTCATTCATTCATTCATCTATTATGTATTTTGCACCTACCATGCAATAGGCTTGACACGGCTCAGAAAAGACAGTGGTTAAGACTCACTCTCAGCCCTCAAGTGACAGTCTAGTCAGAGAAATAGGCAAGTCAAAGATTAGAAATCAGACACTGTGGTGTACTTACAATAAAGCTTTCTTGAAAGAGTGGCCCAGAGACTTGTTTCACAAGTCAGAGTTCTTTCAGCACGAAAGAATGGTGCAAATCTACAGGTTGATATCATTCAGATGTTTTTCAGATAGTTTCAGAGCCTTCAAAGTTTTTACATAAATTCTTATTTAAAATTGTGTGGGGGGAGGTGTGCGTGTGTCGTGGGGGATGGGGTTAGGTTTGTCAGCAATCAAAAACTTGTTTTGGAGCCAAAAACTATCAACAAAGATTTGCAATTTTGTAAAAAGTCTTCTTTAGTAACTATAACACGATAAATAGTGTTTCCAAAACTGGTTTGTAGCAGCTAAATGACTACTCCTTCCCTAATTCAATCACAACTGGAAAAGGTATACAGTTAGTTCTTCTGAGTTTTAAGTGACTTAGAAATAATTAATTTCTTTTCTCAAGAGTGGACTATCTATGGATTCAGGTGTCCAATGACCTAATGTGATTCCAATCATTTTACTGTTATAAATCTTCTATTATAAAAATCAAGAATACAGTGTCAAAAAATAAAAACTCCCCAATATACTTTAATACAACAATAGTAACTCTAATTTAGATCAATTAAAAAGCTTAATAATTGTGCAGTGCATATAAAAAAATCTAAAAGGCTTTGTGTTTATTTGTTCTAGATTATTACTGCCATAATTTTCAACTAATAAATCACTAGGGTCTAAACTTAATTACATATATTGTTCAAGACTGAAAAATTCTAAATTTTCGCATGATCTAGTCTGTATTCAACGTATTTATTCTCAAAAGGAAAATTTTTTTATTCATTTCGTATTCACAAGCATACCTAGACCAGGCAGGTAAACTTGTAACAAATGATGTAGAAAATATATTTGACCAAGTTGAATGTCACCGCTTAAGGGATTTATACTGAACTATAAACTTAGGAATGTTAAATAGTATTTAACCCTGAAAACAATTTAAGATTTTAAAGGTTTTAAAGAAAACCTTATTATTTTAAACCCATCATGTTAGATCTCAAATTCTCCTTAAATAACATATCTCCACTAATTCATCATTGTTTTTGAAAATATTTCAGTCATCATTATATGAAAGTATGTGATGAGAAATACATAGAGAAAACAGACAATAAGGAATATAAAAATAACTAACATTTAGGAAATTCCTCATACGAGCTTCAGCTGTAGAGATAAAGCATGTACAAATAATATGCTAGGAATAGAAGCAGTTGAAAAAATACTGATATATTTCAGAAAAGTGAGTGAAGTCTTTGTTTAAACTTCAACTCAGTCCTACCTATTTAATTATACAAAATGACTCTAAAATATTAAAGGTAAAACAACCCAGAAGAAAAATATTAAACTTTTATCTACCCACGCTTAAGGGCTCAGATTGCTGGATTTGAGATTTAGCTCTCATTATACAACCCTGGGCCAAACTAAATCTCAGTTTTCTCACCTGTAAAAATTGCATAAAAGTAGTACCTACATCAAGGGAATGTGGTGAAGATTAAATGAGTTAATATTTAGCACTTCATAATTAGAGCTACTATTATATTCCCAGTGTTTTTACTTCTGTTATGGTAACCCCTCCCCCAGTAATGGGAATATTCTTACACCAAAATACTATTGGCTTTTGTGCTATTTCTTTATTCATGTAAAATTTTGTTCCTGAATCCCCCTCCCTGTGTAGATAGTTGCCCTGGTGACATTCTTTTATTCCTTTCAACAGCCCAAATCCCTGAAGATGATGTAAACACAGCTTTAGCTACTTCGGAACATTGTTTTGATGAGTAATGTGGGAAGAAATTTTAAGTACGCATACAAATTTTTCTTAAAATACACCTGAATTTTAAAATCAGCTTCCAAAATGCTGAAATATAACAGTTTGTTTCGTTTTAGTACATCAAAGATGCTACAAAAAATTTTTGAAAAAAGAAACACATCAATCCATTTAAATATTTTCTAGTCATTGTAACTGAGCATCAGTTGAAAATACTCATTCTTTATGCTCTTCTACAACTTTGAAATTTGGATTTCCAATTCTTTGGTATTTGGAGGGACAGCCACTAACGACTAATCCAAAGTCTCTTTCTGGTTTACTGGCATCAATGCCAAACTCATCAACAGATCCCATATGCCATGCATAAAACAAACCACCTTCACAACCATCAAGTTCTATGATAAGTTGTACAACTCCTAAAATTACCATTTCCACTGAAGTCTTCTGCCCCATTGCCATTAATCTGAGAGAGAATTTTGAGCTGCTTTGAGAAAATTCTGTTGAGTTGTGCATTCTTGTGGTTTCTCACTCCAAGAAAACAAAAGCAGCCTAACCAGTTTTGTTTTATTTTAGATATACAGAGAAAAAAGGAACATTTAAAAAAATATATTGGACTAAGGATTCCCAAAGACAGAGATTCATACCAAATATCATTTTAAAGTGACATCACAAATGACACACTTTACCCATTTAGTGGAGATTATTTAATGACCACTACTGAAGTTTTACCACTTATAATTGGTGAATACTGGTAGTGGAGGTGGAAATGAGGGTATAGTTGTCTGGAATTTAAATCACGTAGGTAAGCACCATAGAAACACATGACCGGAAAGGCTAACATCCTTTGAGCAAGTCTCCTGATTCTAATAGTTTAATGTATTATTTCTCTTAATTTTTCAATGTGACGATGATAATAGCATTCACCAAAGACATTTGGTAGAAGACTATAATTATCAAAAATATGGAAAGTTGCTTGAATATATCACTGAATATAATCTTAGGCTAGCCAAGAATTCTAAAGCATTTAGGTACAAAACATTCATGAGGACATCGTTATAACTGTCACACGTTGAATTATTGACAAATTTGGACTATTTATTTTAATATCCTTTGAGTATTTTCTATGTGTTAATCACTGTTTTAAGCAATTCATTTAATCCTTGTAAAACTCTATACAGTAGGTACTGTCAAATGGTACTTTGGAGATGAAAAATATTGAAAACCACCACCAGCAACAAAACCTGACACATAAAGGAGTGAAATAAATGACCAATGCCCACAACCAAGAGATGGTAGAATAAAGAATTTCAACTCAGTTAGTCATATTTCTGGTGCCCGTATTTCTAAGCATTGTTCTCTTACAACTGCAATTTCTTACAATTCTCTGTAATCCTATTTCTGGCTGAAATATTAGTAGCTACTGTTGAGTTGTAACAAATGTACAGAATACTTCAATATATGAAAATATAATTTTTCATGGGTGGTACCATTAGGCTTTACGTAATCAATAATTTAGCCAAAGCAGAGAATCACAAACCACGTTCTACTTATTTTTTACATTTATAACCAGGGACCTCATTTTGAGGCAAAATACGAGCAATTGCCTTCAAATCACTACATCTCAAACATGTTCTTATCTTAATATTCTAGCAGCTAAAAGCTGGGCAAATTCTCAGTGGCATTCTTCTACTCTATAACTAGCCAGTGTAACTTGTTAGAGTATATGTTTTCTGAGTTGACCCTTATGGAAAAACATTTTTTCTTAATAGAGTTTAAGACAAAACATAGAGTTATTTATCTTTAAATAAATATAGTTTACAAGTAGTTTTAGTACTTCTTATCCAATGGGCTACTCACCTGAAATAGTCCTCGTGTCCCACCTCTAATCACACACACACACACACACACACACACACACACACACACACACCACAACCCTCCCTTTGGTATAACTCATGGAGACTGAAGTCAGCCCTAATAGTAAAACATTCTGTAAAAGGTTGTGCCTATGTAAGTTTATTCATGGTGGGCACCAAAACCCTATATTAAAGGTCAGGTAGATACAAACTTCAAACAAACATTGTTCTATAACTTGTGTGGTAGGTACAATAATATTCCCCCATACACACATGCCATGATGCCTATGTCTTAATCCCGAAAACGCATGAATATGTCACCTTACCTTGCAAAAGGGACTTTGCAGATGTCATTAAACTAAGGGCACTGAGGTGGGGAAATTATCGTGGATTACCCAAGTGGGCCAATGGAATCACGAGGGTTCTAATAAAGGGGATGCAAGAAGGTCAGAGTCAGAAAAAGGAAATGTAAGGATGGAAGTAGAGATAAGAGAGAGACAGAAAGGGAGAGAGATCTGAAGGTTCTACACTGTGGCTTTGAAGATGGAGGAGGACCATAAGCCAGGGAGCCAAGGCCGCCTTTGGAAGTTAGAACAGGTAAGGAAACATTCTCCATTCGAGATTTCAGAAAGCAGCCCTGCTGAAAACCCGATTTTAGCCAAATGAAACTCATTCTGGACTTCTGACCTCCCAACCTATAAGGTAAGTTTGTGTTGTTTTAAGCAGTTAAGTTTGTGATAGTTTCCTATTGCTGCTGAAACAAAATTAACACATTGCGAAAGTATCTACAACTTGCGACGTCGTTTTTAAAAAGGAAATGTTAAAAAATGACTGATCATTTATTTTAGAATAAAATTCCCATCTTATTATCTTAGCATCTATTGCCATCCAAAAAAATAAACTATAAATACTACACAGTGAGGTTCTTAAATCAAGATTTAGTTTTTTCTGATGAACCAATAAGAACATTTACATTCTGAAAACTGTAATACAGTCTCTAATCTAAGTCTTATCTAGATCCCACTTCTTGCAGTGTCCTACGAATCATTTTCCGGGTACCCTGCAGTTTTCTTGGCCCAGTGTAGAAATCCTTTACTGGGAGACGTGTGTCCTCCTGTCAGCATCATTAATCTTTGAGGATGGTGTGCAGGACCTGTGTACGGGATTACTCATGTGGAATGATGGAATGTTCGGTAACTGATTTGTCTGAACACTCTCCTTCCCACTGCCAAATGCTTGCTGCTGGCTCTGTTGATGCAGGGATGGCTTTTGTCTGTGGTCTTAGTGCTCGGCAAGCTCATTTTCATGCCCATCTCTCAGCTCTCTCTAACCTGAGCATCCTTTTGTCTCCTGCAAGTTTGTTTCTTGCTGTCATCAGCCTCCTCTTTCACAATGCTAAAATGATGGGTTGTATTTTTAACCCTTTGGTGACAAGAGTCCGTGCCTGATTGGAGCTCAAATTCCATTAGTGTGCCACCCCAGTGAAATACTTCTATAAGGCAACTAAACGTCTCTCTGCAGGATTACTCTGAAATGTTGCCATTTGGTATGTTCAAGTATAATACTCGGTCTTACGACAACCGATTTTTCATCTAAAAAAAACTTACCTCCCACATTTCAGTGTGAATTTATAACAAGTCATTTAAACTGTATGTTTATAGCAAATGAGACTTAACACAAGCTAATAGCTACTCTTTATAAATTTATAATGGGTTTTATACATCCTTAGGCTTCGATTTTTTTTTTTTTTTTTTTTTTTTTGAGACGGAGTCTCGCTCTGTCGCCCAGGCTGGAGTGCAGTGGCGCGATCTTGGCTCACTGCAAGCTCCGCCTCCCGGGTTCACGCCATTCTCCTGCCTCAGCCTCCCGAGTAGCTGGGACTACAGGCGCCCGCTACCACGCCCGGCTAATTTTTTGTATTTTTAGTAGAGACGGGGTTTCACCTTGTTAGCCAGGATGGTCTCGATCTCCTGACCTCGTGATCCGCCCGCCTCGGCCTCCCAAAGTGCTGGGATTACAGGCGTGAGCCACCGCGCCCGGCCAGGCTTCGATTTTTTAAAGGCAGGAACTATCCCAAATGCCACCTTATAAATCAGATGCCACTGTTTTAAATACAAAGATGTAGTTCTTTTCTTAATCCAAAATTTGTTTTGCTCAAAACTGGATTTGACAATCTCCTGTTGTCTCCATTTAACTCAAGAAAAGCTCCCAAATGAAAACACCCCAGTGAAAAAGTGCAGGTATCAAAAGTCCAGTAAGCTTAGGAATCATGCATGAAAGCTAGAATACATGAAATGTTATCATCCTGCAAGTGAAAAGAATATGATAACATAGCATCATTTATTATACTCCATTAGGTTAAAACTAAGATTGTATTATATTGTGGGTGTTAAGACTTGCCAAAGTTTTCATTTGACTACAGAAGAAACCACCCCTAAAATGTAGTGACTACAAACAGTAAAATTTCTTTTATTTATTTATTTATTTATTATTATTATACTTTAAGTTTTAGGGTACATGTACACAATGCGCAGGTTAGTTACATATGTATACGTGTGCCATGCTGGTGCGCTGCACCCACTAACTCGTTATCTAGCATTAGGTATATCTAAAATTTCTTATTTCTCATAATTCTATGGGCTGCAGGGTTTCCTCTTCTGGTGGTGGCTGGGCTCACTCATGTAGCCGCATTCAGCTGCCAGGTGAGAGGGGCTGGGAGGCCCAGGCCCCACGGTTGTTGCTGGTTGGCAGCTGGAGCCCGTATGTTTTTCTTCATGTGACCTCTCATTCTCTAGCAGGACAGACTGTATTATTTACATGGTGGTCTCAGAGCAATAGTCCCAGAGTGCAAAGAAAGAAGTTGCAAGGTCTCTTTAAGCCAAGACTCAGAAATGACACTCATTCTTACCAGAATCTATTAGTCAAAGACACAAACCCAGTTCAGATTCAAGGGGTAGGGAAATGGACTTAACCCCTTTGTGGGAGGAGCTACAAAATATCACAGCTACATTGTTCAATCTGCCACACACAGTGTGCTTCAACCCTGTCAGGTGTCTTTATTTTATAACAATGCTTTTACTGTCTGAGCACATAGTGAAAGATAAACCTCAAATTAGCATTTAAATTAGTGTCGACATTAACAATTTCTTTTTTCTCTTCTTCAGAATACATATGATGGCCTGTTTTGAAGAAAAAGAGAAAGGATATAACATCTTCACGAAAACTAAGTTTCATTTCAGAATGTGGCAGGAAAAATATCAAAGAGTTTACATTTTTGAAAGCACAAATTCAAAGCATAATATCATGAAAATAAGAAGGTGGTGTAGGAAGCACTGGTATCTTCGCAGATAGAATTCTCAGTTGCAAATAATAGAAACTGAAGCAGAAAGGAATTTATTGGAAGAACATTAGCTCACAGAATCAATGAAAATGTGGGTAAATTCAGCTTGAAAATCAGAATGAATAAAGAAATGATAGGTCACCAAAATCACAACAGAGCTGTGACTTAAGACCCAGCGGCGTCCAACCCCACAATGCCAGATTCTGAGGGCCCTGCCTCAAAAACAGGGGGAGGCAAGGTCTAAAATTAACCACTGATTATTAGAATTTCCTTCAATATAAATATTATACTGCAGTTACACTTATTTGCCAATTGTTATTTCACCTTATCCTTTAGGTAGTAAATTATACGCACACACATACCAATATATTTACATTATATGTGTATATATACACACACACACACATTCGTGTATATATATAGATACACATACACCCATATAAACACATAATACATACCATATTTACATTATATATATATTATGTACAGATACATATATTTACATAATTACATATGTAAATATATGTATTATGTTACATTATATATTTATATTATATATTACATTATATATGTATAATGGCAATTTGATATGTATTATGATTTATAATTAATGATATAATTATGTGTCAAGAAAGAGAAACAGAGACTATATATATTAATCTATAAACATTTTAACATTGTTGAGTAGGCTGATTAAAAATGTAAAGCTAAGCAAGTGTAGCTAAAAATCTTCACCTATTTGCATTTTTACGCCAAAATATGATTTCATGTTCAAGTATGAAAGAGGGATCAGTTATGCATTGTACATTGAACTCAAATTTTATATCTCAACAAGGGAAAACATCAAATTAAAAGTTTCTCATGATTCTTTTATATAATAAATATGCATATTAAATTTCACAGGGCCTTTAGGGTATCTTTATTCTAGTCTATCCTATACTACTCATTCTAATAAGAAGCTATTGAAAATTTAGGTTAGGAAATGAAAGTTTTTAAAAGTAGCACATCAATCTGGGATAATTCATGTACAATCTTGTGAAATGGATTTGCTATACTTTAGAATAAAAAAGAAATTCAAATTAACGCATAATATCAAGTAGCTACAACTCTAAGATGTTAACTGTATGCTCTAAAACTGTTATCCTAATACAACCCTTAATAACAATAGTAACAATAACAACAGCTACATTAATGGCTGTTATTTACTGTGAGGCTACACTGTGCCAGCCTCTTGCTACTTAGGCATAGCTAAATACACAATATTGAGCATGGGGGAATCAACTAGCTCAATGTCGCACAGCTAAGTTACAGGGCTTCAAGCCTCATGTGACTCTATGACTTATTTTTTACCTTCCTGCGCTTTCTTGTTGAGGAAATCAATCTAAAGTCAGATTTAGGTATCAAGGAAAAGCATAGGTTTGCAGGCTAATGGAAGAGCTCCACAAAGAGCACTTTGATTCAATGTTGTTTAATTCTTAACACATCAAGTAACTGAAATTTTATCTTGTAAATTCTACCATATGAGAGTATTAATACAGTGATTCGTTTAAAACATATTTCATGACTTTCCTCTGCCAAAACTAGGTACCAAAACTTCATAAATTTTTAGGAACATCAACTTCGGATAGAAATGATACCCGACATTCTAAAAGTTTGACAGAACTTGGAATGACATTTCATTTTCATTCGTTCTTTCATTCCTCATGTCTTCATTAACTTAACAAACATTTCTTGAATGACTGCCATGTGTAACTGCATTGTTAATCTTTTACAAGATGTGTGTGATCTCAGTGATAGCAGAAAGCAGCAAAAATCTGAAGCTCACTTTCAGTCTAGACCATAGAAGCAATTCCCTCAACCATTAAAGTAATTTAATCCCCCATTAAATACAGAATTTATTTCTAATGTTTAATTTTTTAATGTTTTAAATTTGTGTAATAAAGTTGAGCGATACCATTACTTATGAGATTCGAATGATCCATGTGTTCTCAAAATCATTGTCACTCTGTAATACTCTAGAGTTATAACTAATTACAATTTTTAGCCAGGAGGGAAAGCATGAAGGAAATTATGGCGTCCATTTACGGTTAGAAAGTAAATTAATAGATCATCTTTATAAATAAGAAATAATCCAGCTGATACCCCTCTACAGTCAGGAACCTATAAATTCAATTTGCTAACACCTGTCAATAATATCAAAGTAGAAATTAGTAATTACAATATAAACTATTGGCTAGGGAAACAAAGGATATACTTCATTAGTTTCAGAAAAATAAGCCTCAATTAAAAAATAAATTATGGTTATGAAACCTATACTGTATTAAACCTTTGCGGAAAAAAATTTCTTGTTGAAATGGGCAGAATAGGACAAGCATTTCTTAAATGCATTACTTCTTCTCTAACCAACCACTCACAACATCATGAAAATGTAAGGGCCAATTACAACAATAAATAGTAGGATTCATAGGGAAGAATGATAGCACCTTCAGATTACATGGCATATTTGTTGTGGTCTATACTTTCTTGTTTCTTGGTTTTAAAGGACCAAAGTTAGGTATACGAATTTTGTTTAGGAAAATTCTTTAACCAAAAGGGCCAACACTGTAGAAATTTGTATCTCTTCATCCAAAGTAAACCATCTGGGTATGTGTTCAGCGAGTTTCCTCAAGTTCTTGTATCAGATCTTCAAAAGTCAATATAGCATAAATACTGATTTACATCTGTAGCTTTGGACTCATTAAAGCTCCAGAATTTAAATATTTCAGAGCTAAATAAATTGGCTCTTGATACTTGGATCTAAACATTTGAAGAATTCAGTAACAACCTCATTAGAATTCTACCAGGACTTCCTCAGCCCTGGGGTTTTCCATCATGTTCCAGGCCATCACTGGTACCTCCTGTAAGGTATCAGAAGATGGCCTAGCTGTCCCACTGTGAAGATAAAAGTAGACGTGGCTGAGCTCCATGAATACTGACAGGAGATATCTGGAGCTCCCTTACCTAAAGGAGGGTAGGGGGTACCATGGATAGCCTAATGGTATGATATGACATTCATGAGAAGTAACTACGAATAACTATAAAACTAGACTTTCCTGTTGTTTCTTCCATCTTATGACTGTTACATGGAGTCATATCACCTTAGATCCTTTCTATAACATTAGTGAGAGCCAGCCTGGGTGGTCAAGATCAAAACATAGTAGATCAGAAATGCAAGTTCTCTTGATAATATTCCTGAATTGTAGGAACTATCAATATCATTTAGAGATGAGGAAAATTAACAAGCTAGGCCAAGACACAAACCCACGTCTGCCTGACCCAAAGTCCTTAACCTGTCACACTCTGCCTGAGTTCTAATCCATTCCCAGAAATAACACTTGCATATCATAGGAATTCTAATCAAAACTCAAATTGAAATGTACATTCTGTTGGTCTCTAAATATTCTTTTCCCTTTGAATCTCTATTTTCAGTAAAAATAACAAACTCTCTCCCTTCCCCCACTACCAAAGCGTCCCCAATCAGATCTACTTTATCTATTTATTTAGACAAAGTCTCACTCTGTCACCCAGGCTGGAGTGCAGTGGCACCATCTTGGTTCACTGCAACCTCCGCCTCCCAGGTTCAGGCGATTCTCCCACATCAGCCTGCAGAGCAGCTGGGACTACAGGCCTGTGCCATCAAGTCTGGCTAATTTTTGTATTTTTATTAGAGAGGGAGTTTCACCATGTTGGCCGGGCTGGTCTCGAACTCCTGACCTCAAGTCATCTGCCCACCTCAGCCTCCCAAAGTGTTGGGATTACAGGCGTGAGCCCCCGTGCCAGGCCTAGATCCATTTCAAAGAGACAAGAAGAGAAGATACACCAGGTACCTGCCGATGACTCATAGTTTGCTTCCTATTTAGTCATCTGTAATTATACATAATACTTGCAACAATCCAGCAAGGTAGAGCAAGTGTTTATGTCCTTTCACTTCACAGGTAAAGAGCTACTCTTGGAGAAATTTAAGTCATCAGAGGACACAAGATTAATAAATGTCAGTTCAAGACCATGTCTTTACTGCTGTCACTGTTGGAACCATACAAATCACCCAAGTTCATGCATTGAGTCTGCATCTAGGCTTTCTAACAGGTACCATTCAATGGCTTGTGAAACTGCTCCTCTGCTTCCCTCAACTCACAGGGAAAATCATGCTCAACCACTGCAATTACACAACTGGAAAGAAGCACACATTGCAATGCATAGAAACTGAACCTACCCCCACCTTCTGGCTTTTTGGTAACATACTTGAAAAGCAGGATACAGATATGTGGAGCATTTTTTTCACAGCACAGTCATTTATCTACCCTGACATCTCTATTTTTTCAGTAAGAAAGAGTGACTATCTATATAAAAAATATCAAGCCAATTCAGTCAACAGTATTTTTAAATGTTTTCATTTTCACTTACTGTGTTTCTAAAGGGTTTACCCATTAATGTAGTTTGATTTTTTTCATTCTGATTTAAAAGAATTAGGGATGCTTTTTCATCTTATTTTAGAAACTCAACCACTCCTGATTCTATTGTTGTCCACATCAAGATCAGAAAAACAGTATTCCAATATTAAAATGTGATGAAAGCAACTGAATAACAATTTCACAACCAAGATCCTTGGTCAAAATATCAAAGCAAAGGAGGAATCTAAATGTGATCTTTTGTCATTGCTAACCATTGCCTAAGTAATAGCAACTCTGATAGAAATCTTTCTGTAGAGGCCAAATGCTCATGAATCAATGAGTGAATAAAGAAAATGTGGTAGAATAAAGAAATGTGACAGAATACTAGTCAGCCGTAAGAAGGAACAAAATAATGGCATTTTCAGCAATCTGGACAAATTGAGAGACCATTATTTTAAATAAGGTAACTCAGGAATGGAAAGCCAAACATTGTGTCTTCTCACACATAAGTGAGAGCTAAGCTATGAGGACACAAAGGCATAAGAACAGTACAACGGACTTTGAGGTCTTAGGGAAAAGGTTGGGAGGTGGGTGAGGGATAAAAGACTACACATTGGGTACAATGTACACTTCTTGGATGAGAGGTGCACCAAAATCTCAGAAATCACCACCAAAGAATTTATTCATGTAACCAAACACAACCTGTTCCCCAAAAACCTATTAAAATAAAATAATAATAATTTAACAAGAAAATAAATTTTCTGAAGTAGCTTCTAAGTCAGACATTTTACATATATTTCTGAATTGATAGTAGGAACTATCAATACCTTTTAGAAATGAGAGAAATTAACAAGAACTTAGGCAGGCTCACAGAGTAAATAAAAAGCTAGGTTAAGACAAACCTGGCCGGGCCTGGTGGCTCACACCTATAATCCCAGAACGTCGGGAATCCAAGGAAGGCAGATCACCTGAGGTCGGGAGTTCAAGACCAGCCTGGCCAACATGGTGAAACCCTGTCTCTACAAAAATCCAAAAATTTTCCTGGCATTATGGTGGGTGCTTGTAATTCCAGCTACTTGGGAGGCTGTGGTGGGAGAATCACTAGAACCTGGGAGGTGGAAGTTGAAGTGAGTTGAGACCATGTCATGGCACTCAACCCTGGGTGACAGAACAAGACTCAGTCTCAAAAAACAAACAAACAAAAAAAAACACCAATATGTGCCTTACCCCAAGACCCTCTATCCTATTATATTCTGCCTCGGTATCTTTTCTGGAAGTTTGTATTCTTTCCAAATCTCAGAAGTCATATTTGCTTATTGTAAGTAAATTTAAATGTAAATCTATATTCTAAAAGTTTCTAAACGGTCTTTTGCCTTTTATCTCTATTTCTCCTGGGATAACAAAATCGACAGTAGTGGGATTTTTATTTGGCTTCTCAATTATACCAATGTCAGGCATTGAGTGTACAAACCCCGTGAGGCCACTGCAGTTTCATTATGCACATCTTTATCAGGTTCAGCTCAAATAGAATACACCGGATTGAGGGCAAACAAGATCTTGATCTTGTAAATTTCACTATATGGCAAGTAGCACATTGATTCTTCATGCAAATAGCACAGGCTACTTAAAACCTAAATCGGTTTGATTTAGAAGACTAAAATGATACTTTTAAACAGACAAATGTGGCATTCATATATATCACATGGTTATTATAGCAAGTGATAAAAAATTGAGTGCAAATAGAAAGGAAAATAAATGAATGGCCAAGACCTCTTACAGCCTGCCGTTCGGAAAGTCATTTTCAAAAATGCATATGATTTAGCAGTGCTTCAAGATCAATAACCTCCTTGTCCATCAAAGGAAATATCCAAGAAATAACACTAAAATGATGTAAAAATAAATGAAATAACTATAATTTTGCAGTTTAATTACACAATTTACAAACAATTCAAATGGATTCATTTATTCTACTTTATGTGTTATATAGCTTTTGCCTCAAAACTAGTTTTTCTTTTTTAATAAACTCCTTATGGGACTACGTTTATGTAAGAAACAATAAAACATTTCTCATATTATTGCTTTATCTTTAGACTTATCACATATGAAATAAGAAAAATTTTGTGGCCATAATTAACTTTTGAAATTATGACCAATTATAGTAGCTATCTACTCCTAGCATTAAACAGCACTTCTGTTACACATCTTACATCTCTTGAAAATTGCTGGAGAGAACTCTGTATATCCAATGGTAATAAAGAGGCAGTTGATCACCTTAAGATTGTTTCATAATAATTATATAGAGTTGGAGCCACCAAGTACAGTACACAATCAATACATTCAAAAAGCCAAAGTCAAATAACATTTTCTCCAACTTAAAATTCAAAAAGTATGCAGAAGGGTTTTATTTTGACAACCGTGTGTAGAAGGAAAGACATGAATTAAAGGTACTTTAGATAGGAATAGGAAAATAGCATGAATTAAATCCACATTATCTGTAATTGCATTATTTTTATCACCCACCCACCAATAAAACACCTATACTTCAGTCAAATTGGGCAGCTTACTTTCTTCCTAAAAATGACTCAAAATTTTGGGCATTCTGCTTCACTGGAAATTGTGGGTATCAGAGGCTAGCTTTCTTGTGAAGTCTTTCGTCACCCAACTAGGGTCTTCCCTTCCTTTGCGACTCTCATAGCACTTCACAAGAATGAAACACCATACGATAGAAAGACTCATCTCAAGTCCTGCCCTCTGTATAAAGCCCTTCCAGACTTATCTTTGCGACCTTTCATAAACACCCCACATAATATTAATCATCTCTACTTTTTATGTTAACTATAGCCCACATAACATCTACTATAATATTTTTAAAACCTCCAGCATTTAATTGTTTAACTACCACTCTGTCCCAAGAGAGGGGAACTATCTGTAGACAGGATTATATACGATTCAGTGCCAAATCCCTAAAAATTTCACAGACATTAAAAAACCAGTTAGTGAAACCTGAATGAATGAACTTGGCCCTGTCTTTAAAATCTTTTATTCTAATTAGGTGATGAGAAATAAGCACATCTACAGTAAAGTTTAAAATAGAATTTTTTCATGAAAATTCAATTCTAAAAAAAGTTCAAGTTAACAGTGAAACAGGTTGTCATGCCAGTTCATGACTCCCTGTAAAATCAATTTTTGGATTAAAGACTTAAATGTAAAACCCAAAACTATAAAAGCCCTGGAAAACAACGAAGGCAATACCACCCCGAACATAGGAAGGGGCAAAGATTTCATTACAAAGACACAAAAAGCAATCACAACAGAAACCAAATTGACAAGTGGGATGTAATTAAGTTTAAAAGATTTTGCACAGAAAAAGGAACTATCAACAGAGTAAACAGACAACCTACAGAATGGGAGAAAATATTTGCAAACTATGCATCTGACAAAGGTCTAATATCCAGCATCTATAAGGAACTTAAATTTATAAAAGAAGAACAAACAACCCTATTAAAAAGTGGGCAAAGGACATGAACAGACACCTACCAAAGGAAAACATACATGTGGCCAACAATCACATCAAAGAAAAGCTCATTATTACTGAGAATTAGAGAAATGCAAATAAAAACCACAGAGAGATACCATCTCATACCAGTCACAATGGCTATTAATAAAAAGTCAAAAAATAACAGATGCTGGTGAGGCTGTGGAGAAAAGGGAACGCGTATACACTGATACACTGTTGGTGGGAATGTAAATTAGTTCAACCATTGAGAAAAGCAGTATGGCAATTACTCAAAGAGCTAAAAGCAGAACTACCATTCGCCTCAGCAATCCCATTACTGGGTATATACCCAGAGGAATGTACATCATTTTACCATAAAGACACATGCACACAAATGTTCATTTCAGCATTATTCACAATAGCAAACACATGGAATCAACCTAAATGCCCATAAATGACAGATGAGATGGAATACTATGCAGTCATAAAAAAGAATGAAATTGTGTCTTTTGTGGGAACATGGGTGAAGCTGGAGGCTACTATCCTCAGCAAACTAATACATGAATGGAAAACCAAATATTGCATGTTCTTACTGGGGTCTACTTGAGGATGGAGGGTGGGAGGAGGGAGAGGAGCAGAAACAAAATAACTATTGGATACTGGGCTGGATACCTGGGTGCTGAAATAATCTGTAGAATAAACCACCATGACATGAGTTTACCTATGCAACAAACCTTCATATGTATGCCGGAACCTAAAATAAAAGTTTAAAACATACCATCCTAGTTTATGGAAACAAAAACTACTTAGGGCCACGGTAGTCAGGGAAGGCTTTGCAGAAGATGTGAGAATGAGATCCATATTACAGGCTGAGTTGGTTGTGAGCAGTACAAAGGGGTTTCTAGGAAGGGCACCATCAAGAACTTCAGCATTTCTTGAGAGTAGTGACTTACCCAATTAGGCTGCAGCAGAGGGTCATTTTAAGAAGAAAAATAAAGATAGGAAGGTAGGCTGCTTTTACTCTGGGGAGTCTTTTTTTTTTTTTCTTGAGATGGAGTCTCACTCTTCGACCCAGGCTGCAGTACATGGCACCATCTTGGCTCACTGCAACCTCTGCCTCCTGGGTTCAAGCAATTCTCTGCCTCAGCCTCCGGAGTAGCTGGGATTACAGGTGCCCGCCACCACACTTGGCTAATTTTTCTCTTTTCAGTAGAGACGGTGTTTCACCATCTTTGCCAGGCTGGTCTCGAACTCCTGACATTGTGATCCACCCTCCTCGGCCTCCCAAAGTGCTGAGATTACAGGCGTGAGCCACTGCACCCAGCCGGGCAGAGTCTTTAATGAGCAACTAAAGAGATTTTTTTTTTCTATTGTAGGAGTCATCTAAGATTTCGTTCATAATGGCATAATTCGAGGGGTACTTTAGAAAGGTGAATTTGACCTTAGTATGCAAAAGGGGTCAGAATTGGAATGAAAGGTAGGATGGAGGATATGAATTAAAAATTTGCTGTAACAAGACAAATATAATCTAATAAGGATTTAGTAAAATAGCTTGCAGAAAAAAGGAAAGAGTAAATGCAAGAGATATTGTCAAGAAATAACTATCAGCAACTACAAGACGAAGGGATGTGGGGCTTGAAAAGGCAGACACTGAAAAGGCAGTTGCTAGGTTCAAGCCTTTGCAAAGTGAGAGTTCTGGAATCACTGAAATATACAGGGACGTTAACAGAGTAAGCGAGATTTAAGAGCAGAAAAAGCTGTTTTTTTCCAGACACACCAAGTTTGGGTTGACAGCAGGCTAATCAGGCAGCAATGCTAGGCAAGCAATTAGAAAACTGGACCTTTGAAAGAAGGCTAGGCTAGATATTTAGCGGGAATTATTTTCTGGGATGAAGGCTGAAGACCTGTGAATAGATGATGTGTGCCAAAAAACATGAAAAATTAGAAGGCTAGACTGGAAACTAATGAAGTATCCATGTTTAAGGGACAGGAGGACAGAAAGGATCTGGTGAAAGAGACAAAAGAATAATCAAAGAAACAGCAGAAGGATGAAAAGAGTGGGATCATAGAAATCAGGAAATAAAAGAGTCGGCAGAGAAGTGGAGCAGACTGCTCGGTGGTGCCCACAGGACAAGGAGATTTGGCACAATGATCATTTTTGCAGTTAAAGCTGTGAGGTCAGGAATCCTAGAGAAGGCAGGTGACAGCAGCAATCACAAGGAATATGGAAAAAAAGGGTTGTTGAAAAAGTAGAAGCAGATGCTTTCCCCATTACTCAAATAGAAAATTTGGAAGTGAAAAGAAGTAGCCAGAAAGAACAGTAAGATTTAAATGAGCTTAAGAAACCAGAGCTTTTTTATATAAGGAGGGAAAGAAGGAAATGAAGGACATTCTGAAATAATCTGAATAAGCTCAAAAGGAAGTTTGACATAGAAAATATACCTGTTATAACAGAAAATGTATGTTGGGTAGTTTCTCAATTTTAATACAAGTTTTTCAAAACTCTATAACTCTTAAGGAATATGGACTGGTGAATGTCTGTCATTTCCTTTGTTTGCTTAGCCTGCTTTCAGATTTCTCCAAAATCTTAGAAACACTGAATGTAAATTTCCTACTCTCTGATAGTTTTATGTGTCTACTAAATATTATTTTCCTCTGTTAAGAAAGAGTAATAAAACAGCAAATAAAACACATTGGAAAACAGATACAGTGAGAAATAATGCCTTTCAAGGCCAAAATAAGTTCCCTGAAGAATGTGTAAAGAGATCAAAGACAGTAATCCTCAGGGTTTGCTGGAAAACGATGATGAAAGCATTCATCAGAACCAGGCTAGTGATGCCATTGATTATTCCCAATATAGGTATGGCATATTATAGCAAAAAAAAATTATCATCAATGACGGGTATGATTTAAGACATAACATCTGACTAACGCATCCAAATAATATGCTGGTAATCTGTTCTAATGACTCTTTTATATTTAATTATTAGCAGTTCCCACCTCATAGAGTGTTTTCCAGAAATGAGTTTATAAGTCAGTTGTCAGAAACTCAAAATGTATTTTTCTTTTTTTCCCCAAACACAGTATTACAAAAATAGTGATTCTCTTCCCAAAGTAACTTACAAAAGCCAATTTATCAGAAACAAGATGCACTGTGAATGATAATTATCTCACTGAAAGTTCTAGAAAAGTCTGTAAGGTAGGAATTATTAGTATCTTATATTAGCAATGTGTCAGTTGAGGCATTAGAGATCAAGTGACTTGCTCAAGGTCTCACATAGCTATGACAGTATTTGCTATTACATGAAACCTTGAGCAAGTTACTTGACTTCTAATGCCTCAGTTGGCTCACAAACTGCAAGATGCTAATAATCCATATATATACAGGGATACATATATATCCACATATATATGGAGTAGTATCTTATATAATTCCTATATATCCTAAATATATATATACACATATCCCTATACATATATATAGAGAGAGAGAGAGAGAGAGAATTGTTCCTAATACTATCTAAAAGGATTTAACATTTTTTCATAAATTACTGCATTTGTTATGAAAAAACTGAGTTCTTCAGAGTGGTGTGGTAGAGGTCAAAGGAATCCTAGACTTGGAGTTCTAAGAAACTACTTCAAGTTCTCACCTTCACAGTCACTCATAACTTTGCATCACAAATATCTTAGTTTTTCCATCTGAAAATGGATGATTTAGATTAAATGACTTCTAAAGCACCTTTTAGAGCAATAATTAAATGATTATAGTATGAATTTGTGTTGCATTGTCTTATGTACTTAGCTAGACTTGCAGGAAATATAAAATCCTTGTTTGTAAAACTTTGAACGTTCTTTCACTTTCATAATGAATGTCGTTAGAAGAGAATTCTCTTGTAAGAGACTTCTGAGACTATTTGAAGGGAGTACTAAAAATTAAGGCTTCCGGAATCAAAAAGACCCATGCTCAATTTTCACATTTTATTCCCATATCTCTTCTTTCATTTATTTTTATGGCCAAGCACAGGAACAGCGAAGTTACGTGTCAGCATAATAGTAAAAAAAAAAAAAAAAAAAAAAAAAAAAGTGGCTTTCAGCTTGTGTTAAATACCTAAGTATAAAAAGAATGAAAGAGAAAAGAAGCCAGTATTTAGTTCTTTTTGTGGGATAGACATTTTGCTTAAGTTAAATCACAATTCTGTAAGTGAGAAGATTGAAGTTTAAAAGATCTAATTAAATTGCTCAACACCACATAGATATCAACAGACAAAACATAAGGCAAACTCACATATTTCAAGTTTGTCTTATCGTTGACCACCAGAAATGACAGATACCAGTAGTTGCCTTAAAAAAATTAATTAATTAAAAAAACTTTTTTTATACTCTAGCGTAGGCTGTACTTCTCCCAGCCCCCGGAAGTAAATATACATTGTTCTTAGCTAATCATGGGGGCTTCTCCAACTTTGCCAAGTCATAGGTTTAGTTATGAGCATAGGATGTAATTTTGACCAATTATATTTTAGGAGATGGCAGTTATGGAGTTTCTGGGAGGGATTTACTCACACTATTTAAAAAATCATTTCTCTTCTTTCCCATCAGGTAATGTGTTTCGAAAACACAATACTTCTTACTCATTACCAAAACATAATGCTTCTTACCCATTATTTTATGATTCTAAGAGGACAAGTCTTTGGAATCACAAAACAAAAGGACAATAAGGAAAGGATTTCTTTTCAGAAAGGTAGAAAGAATTAGAATCCTACCATCATCGAGCTGCAGAATTAACTGTGGAACTGAACAAACTCTGGGTGTTTATGTGGGGTGATACGCATTTGCTATAGCCACTTTTAGATGGATTTACTGTTATTTTCAGCCAAAAACACTGTAGCTGATACTGTCTTTATGATATGAAGTCATTCATGGCTCTCTCTCCTCCCAATACATTATCCCATAAGCACTCTCTGTGATTCCTCTTCTTCAGTTTCCGTAATACTGTTCCTTCTCCAATTTCCCACTGTGTCCTTTATAACCCTACTCCATAACAACTTCCTTAAAGTCACAGTCTGTTGCTCTGACTTTACCCTTTGCCTCTGTGCCTTACTTGCAACCTGGCTCTTGGCTGTCTTCAGATCAATTACCTCCCAACAGCTGACTTTGTAACCACTCACTTTCACTCCCTGTCCTCTAGACCCCAAGTCTTTCCATCTTCCTGAATGACTTAAATACCTATGCAAAGTATGAGCAATCCAATACTCCCTCATGATCTTGTATTGCTCATCTCTAGTGTACTTTATCACCCGTCCCTTGCAGACGTCCACACCAGCGCCCATGCTTAGCTGCACCTCCTCTAGCTCTTAAAATCTAAACTTAAGCCACCTACTCTCTGAAAGCAATCTCCTATTGGCCGTTTCTTACTCAGTCACTCCCATTAAACCTTTTCTTATTTTATTTTCATCCAGTTTAGAACCCCACATCCAGCATTTCAATATCTTTGCCTCCTTTATTCCCTCAGTCTTCTATTGCCTTTGCCTAGAAATCTTGGATCAATCCAACTGTCCAAATTTTCCCCTGCAACACCCAGGCTTCTCTCTCTCTATATATAGATATATACATATATAGATATAGATATAGATAGATATAGATATACATAGATATATAGATAGATATAGATATAGATATATATAGCTATATCTAGATATTGATGTATCTATACCTACACAGATATTCTATATGTTGATATCTAGGGGTTAATAAAAAGAATTCCAGAACCTACAGATATCAACAGACAGAATATAATACATACTCACATACTTCAAGTTTGTCTTATCCTTGGCCACCACAAGTAACAGACACTACTGGTTGCCTAAAAAAAAAAAGTCCTTTACTTTTCTCACTCTAGGGTAGGCTTCAATTCACAATTAAATCAGACTCCTTTACCTTTCCCAATGTGCTTTCTGTGTTTTTGAAGTCTATTCTTTTTCTCATTGTCCATACAACTATTTCACATTATCTGCCACCTCCCATGAACCTCCTACTATCCTTCATTATCTACCCAACCAACCATCCCTTCATTCTGTGCTAAAGACCTGCCTCCAATGCAACAGTCAAAAGAGAAGGTCTCAGATAGGAACCCCTTCTGTGTCTTGCCACACCGACTACATATTAACCTGCACCTCCACTCTTCCTTTCTTCCTTTTCACTGGAAAACAATATCATACCTTCTTCTATGTGATCATCTCTAAACTAGTTCTCTAGATCCTATTATCGCCCGCCTATGAATGGGACTGGTTCTAGTAATTATTTCCCAATATTCTTATATCTTCAACCTCTCCCCTTCTAATAACTACTGTTCATCAGCTTGACCAAATTATCATAAAACAGACTGATTTTTTAGTAGGATGAATTATATAGGCATCCAAATTCCATTTTGTAAATAACTGGAAACTCATCTTTTTCTGGAAATGTCTTTGATTAGGGTTCACTTTTGGAATAAGGTTTCTAGTTACATGAGAATTCAAAGTTTAACTTGAATACTGAACAAAAGTCAGACTGATTAAGAAAGGGAACAAATGAAATGTTATCAGATAAGGTTTTGAGTGTCTACATTAGTCAAGTTGCTCACAATACTCAGACGTTCGTGAATAGAAAAGATGCAAAAATCTTTAAAGTTTCTCCTACACTGACTATGGGATCTCAAGAAACGACTGCATGGATGCCTAAATAACAATATGTTCAAAATTAGTTCTAGGTTTCCTGTTCTCAAGGAGCTCCTTAAATCTCTTAAGGCTCATTGTTCTTAATTTGAGTTGTTCTTATAATGATTTAGCTACTCAATCCTACACCAACACTGGCCAATTCATTTCAAGAAGAGACTGTTTTGCACAGAAATATACATGAGGAAAATCCTTTTGAAGCCACACACTGGTGGATTCACTCTGCTTGATCATTTTAATTTTGTGATCAGCCCAACATTTTTTAAAAAATCCTAGGAGTTTAGATTCTTATGTTATTCGTTTCAAGGCGTCTTGCAGAGTGGTTTAGGATTGTTTGGCTTCTCCTTTTAAAATAACTTGGGGAATTATTTCCTTGATAGTATCTTTTGAATTTAATTTGCCACTTTCTAACCATTTCAGTATATATTCTGTAGACTGAGAGCCTTGGCTACAGCTGGAATAATATGTTATCTGTCAATGATTTTGAATATAGAGGCTTCATTAGGAAGACCTGATGAACTTAGAGATAAAAGAACAAAACTGTTTTGGCATCTTAGTTAATAGGCTTGTGAAGTCCTTAGAGGTAAAGCAGAATTTTGACTGGTAAATCTACACAGCCGATAAACATGATTATTTTAGACATATTTTCTCAAAGTACTAAAGAACCACCCACAGCTGGAAATGGGAATATATTAAAACATACTAAAAAGACTTCAACATCATTACTTTAAAAAGGAGACAGTATTAACCTTCTATCTTTGGGGTAATGAATATAACTGATCACAGATCTGCTGAAATGAAAAGCATGACAACTCACTGTAGACATTTACCTCTTAATGTTTCTGCTTAACATCATAAAACAAAATTCTAATGAATGAAAAGTGATAAAATTAACAATTTAACTAAATGCACAAAAGCATTTAATACCATATTTTCACTCTTGAGGGGCGACATAAAGGGGAAGGTTGGAAAACAGATTCTGTCAGACAAGCATAATTGTATACTAAATGCATTTTTCAATAATTGTCTTTTAATCAAAGATAAATTCACATAAAGTTGAAGGAAAATTAAAGTCTAGTAGTTCTTAAGGTTTAAACTTTATAATTGCAACAAGAGTAATCCTACCCCTCAAATTATTTGTTAAGTATCTTCTAGAGGTTTTGATTTTTATAAAAAGTAACAACTAACAGAAGTAAAATATACACAAAAAATTTTTTTCCCTTTGGGTAATTATATAGAAAAATATTACCTAAACTTACTGCAGAAAAAATTCAATGTTTCTATATGTGAAACATTAAAAAGCCAAATAAAAAAGATGTATATTTGAGAAAAAAATGATTTTTCTAGTATAGGCTTTTTAGTATCAATAATTATATTAAATATTAAAAACCTGTCTAGTATCTTTCTATTTGCTATGCATTATCAGTCTACAAAAACAAAAGAAACAAATCCTAATTGCTTTTATAAGATATCTAAAGTGCCACATTCCTACATAGATTTATAAATTTAATGAAATATAGAAATCTCTCTACATTTGAAAATAAATAATTTTCACAGACTTAAGGTAGCAAAAAAGTGAAAAGATATTTAACATAAACCCCATTAACTTATCCTTCTACTAGATATAATACTGTTTTATGTCTTGAGAAGATGGTAAACTTGTAATTTATAATTACTAGAATACTCCTTAATAAAAGGAGGAGAATATGTTCTAATTTTCCCATAGGACCATATTTCTCTTTTTAAAAAACCACAATTCTAAGCTTTGCAGCTATGAATAGTTATTAACAACATCAAATTATACTTATTTTGGGGTTCAGCTGTACTCTTTGACCTTGCAGAATACAAATAATTTTAAACTTGCCTAAGTTATTATTTTATTTTAAAATGCATTCCTATTTCATTAACTTATAGAAGCTTTTGTATATTCACTTTAGCCTTTCATAATTTTTATTCTAGTATAATGAAATGTTCTCTGATGATCAGCCATGTGAAAAAAAACATCAATTTTTATATAATAATAAGTTAGGCACCAAAAGTGGCATTGAAATATTTATTCTAATAGAATGATCCATAATATAAAATTATTTTCTTTTTTTAAACAATTACAAAATACTGTCACGATAACTAAGCAGAAAGTTTGATTTTTGGTTTGTTTTAAAGGAACATGCAAAACAGCCTGAAAAGCATACAAATATATGTATTATTTAAATCACTTTAAACAGTGTTTCACTTTATAGGAGTTTCTAAAATCCCAACACTGCTGCTTTTATTTAATGTCCTAAAAATTCACATTCACTGAGGTTTATTTGACTGTTTTAATTTTAACTCATCCAACTTTAATGTGTCTATGCATATAAATCACTTATATAATATCTAGTATACTAGCTAATCAAAGTTAGAGTTGAAATCTGAAACCTCTGCACTGTTTCTAATTGCTTCTTAGGTTTTGTCAGAATATTTTGTCATGCTAGACATGCACATCTTCCTGTGCAATCTCAGGCAGTTCCCTGAATCGTGGGGAGCTCACGTTACAATTTATCTTCCTAAGGGAGGCATATTCCTCACAGAGGTCATATTTAAGAAACCTCAGACTCAAATTCTGAACACTTTGACTTACCTTCTTCTTTCAAAAATAATTGCCTATCTAGGCCGCTGATGGTGCAATTTTAAGGATATAATTTGGCAACTGGTCATTAGAGATGTTACCAGAGCAAATGAAAACCGCAAACTCAGTAAGAAATGAAGAGCAGGTGTTCTTTCACTTAGACAGAAAAGCGAAGTTGCAGATAATGAGACTGTGATGAAAACTAGTGGAGGATACTATGTATAACACACAATGTTAAGGTTGATATTCTTCCCACACACTCATCTGCATGCTTCTTTAATTAAATGAGCAGGATAGTTTGCATCTTTTAACATTTAATCTTGAAACAACTCCCTCTTTTCAACTTTAAGTAATGATCATGTAGATTACTGAATATGTAAAACAGTACAAGAAATTAGTTTATATGCCTCTTAGTTAACTGAAGTAAACTGTGGCATCCTGTGGCATTAAACTAGATATATCACAGTTACAAAGATAATTATTGCTCTTCAAGATATTAATATGAATATTTCACTTTATGAATATTTCACTTTATTAAAGTAGTTCTAGTAGGGTGCCTCTAAAACGTTTTTCCTAAAATGCACTGCATTTGGTATACGCAAGAAGAAAAAACCTTTCAGAAAAATTCCATTATCTGAATATAACATAAACAATCAAAATCTTGCTGAACTTCATATTTTTACAGGCACTGTTTTACTTCCTTCGGGGAAGTCTCAATTTTAGATTTCTGTCTGGAACATACACACACCTACATCTGTCTATCTAGCAATGCCTATAGGTGTTTATAGTTGCATTTGCCACTTAAAGATTAGCTCAGGATGATCAGGGCCAGCTGGAGGTAAGACATTTTTTAGGTTGCTGTGGGCTATTTTTAGCACAAGGGGAGAAGTAAATACAATCTTTCCTAGTCCAAATTACAAAACTTCATTGCCAAGACAAGCTGAACTGAAACTTTTGCTAAGGCAGTCTGACCCTGCCAAACTGATCAGTTGTTAAAGAGCTCTGGAATAGTAATAAACCTCTAAGAGTTACAATTAAAGTCCTATATGTTCTTTCATTGATAATAGACTGACAAAACATATTTTTAAAGTAAAATTCTTTGGCAGCCTGTATGCAAACAAAGATATAATGTGATGAGACAGTACAAACTTTAATCCGAAGACAGAAACATCAACTTCTGGAATGCATTTTTCCTGCATTCTGTTTGAATATTGGAAGTACATCCTTGTTGGTTGCCTGACACTTTCCTCATCAACAGTGTATCTTTAATATTTCTTTGTCATTTAGGAGAAAATTGAGCTAATTCAGAAGAGCAGCATCCAGAACATCTCAAGTGTGGCCCCATCTACTCTGATACCCATTACTATTAACATCTGCCAGAGCCACTAATTGCATTCTCTGGGGATATGGTTGAAAGCAAAGGCACTTCTCATTTCAAGAAAAAAGGATGTTTTAAGTATCATTTTAGCTTATTCTTTTTTTTTCTTTTTTTTTTTTTTTTGAGACGGTGTTGCTCTGTCATCCAGGCTGGAGTGCAGCGGCACGATCTCGGCTCAAGGCAAGCTCCGCCTCCTGGGTTCACGCCATTCTTCTGCCTCAGCCTCCCGAGTAGCTGGGACTACAGGCACGCACCACCACGCCTGGCTAACTTTTTTATATTTTTAGTAGAGACGGAGTTTCACCGTGTTCGCCAGGATGGTCTCGATCTCCTGACCTCATGATCTGCCCACCTGGGGCTCCCAAAGTGCTGGGATTACAGGCATGAGCCACCGCACCTGGCCAGCTTATTCTTTCTAAAGGATGTTGGACGTAACAAAGACCCTGTACAAGTTGTGTATAAATATACAGAATTCCCAGGAAACTGTCAAGAGAACTATATAGATATCCTTATTGCTATGAACTCACTATTAAAGAAAATATGGAAAGCATCTTGTTACTTTATATTCCTGGAATGGAATCTTCTAAAGGGCAAGTATTTTAAAGAAATACAAGCATTAAATTTGGTCATAGTAGCTGCAGCTGCAGCAGTGATGGAGTTACAAACAGAAGACTAGAATTAGGAGAGAATAAAACAGACTAGAATTAGGAGAGAATAAAACTCTTCACTTCTTGAGCTATTTCCTTTTATCCCAGGCCACAAAAGAGTTATAGAGAGATTTTTGGGTATCGTTGCTTCTGCACATGGGATTAGGGTAGAAGAGAAGATTAAAGGGTAAAGAATCTTACCATCATATTGAAGACAATCTTTCAGGGGAATGGATAGATGCTCTTGACTTTTCAGGTATCATGTCCTGCTTATGCGCTTATATTCTTAAAAAAAAAAAAATTGTTAGGATCAAAAAGTAAGCATTCCGACAGCTAATATTAACCCCACAGAGTAGAGTTAAGAATTGAACTGGCCGGGCGCGGTGGCTCACGCCTGTAATCCCAGCACTTTGGGAGGCCGAGGCGGGCGGATCACGAGGTCAGGAGATCGAGACCATCTTGGCTAACACGGTGAAACCCCGTTTCTACTAAAAATACAAAAAATTAGCCGGGCGTGTTGGCGGGCGCCTGTAGTCCCAGCTACTTGGGAGGCTGAGGCAGGAGAATGGCGTGAACCCGGGAGGCGGAGCTTGCAGTGAGTCGAGATTGCGCCACCGCACTCCAACCTGGGAGACACAGCGAGACTCCGTCTCAAAAAAAAAAAAAAAGAATTGAACTAACAAAAATACCTCTTTTTTTTTTTTTTCCTGAAATTTCAGTGATCGTTTTGGTTTGAGTTCTATAACCAGAAAGCTGGACCTTTGAAAGGATGAATTATACCAATCTAGGAGGGTTATAACCAAGATTCTTGCCCCCCCTTGTCCCAATTTGCATACTTAAAAACGTGGAAGGGACGAGACTGGCGTGCCTTTTCTTTGTTTTCCTGACTTGCATGCACTGAGTTTTCTACTTAGCATTTTGAAATATTAGCATAGGCAAATGAACTAGCCTATCTACTTATACAAATTAGAAAATGAAATTCTCCTGTATAGTCTTCAAGCAAAGCAATGTGATAGCAATAAGACTTAAGAAACTAGGGCTCTGGCTGTGCGTGGCATTCATGCCTATAATCCCAGCACTTTGGGAGGCTGAGTTGGACGGATCACTTGAGGTGAGGAGTTAGAGACCAGGCTGGCCAAATGGTGAAACCCCATCTCTACTAAAATACAAAAATTTGCCAAACGGGGTGGCGTGTGCTTGTAATCCCAGCTGCTGGGGAGGCCGAGGTAGGAGAATTACTTCACCCTGGGAGGCGGAGATTCCTTCGGTAAACATACATGCAATAAATTCTATGTAAAATATAGCCCATTTACATAAAATACATGTATTTTAATAAAATTGTGATTTTCTATTCTATTAAATTTTTCTTTCTTTGTGGGTTGAGAGGAAACTTATTTTTAGTGGGTAACTTTTTTAAGTTTCTCATGAAAGACTTTGTATTTTTAAATATCTCAAAGAATCAACATTTCTGAAAGCATATATACAAAGAGATGGAAGAGTTATTTAAAAGAATCCTATATAAAAGAGCCTATTGCCCTATTATAAATCAAATACCCAGAACCTGAGACTAGTTTAGCAAAAAAGTAGTTAAACTTGGTGAGATGTGAAATTAGGTTTTAATGCATGCAGAACACATCCCAATGCATATTTTTAGGTGTAGGCTGATTGACTTTTCTCAGTGTTTATAATTAAAAGCTGCCTTTAGGCAGTTAAGAACCTTTGGAGAGCTTTTGATATTATTAAACTCAAGCACTTACATTTAGTTCTAACATACATCCATGCAAAGACCAACACTCTAGTCTCATCCCAGGACAGATTTTAACATGGCCACCTACCAATACTGTTTCTTGCAGCCAGTTTATCAGCTTTTCTTCCTAGTGTACCCACATGAGTACACTCGTTTTTTTACAGCCCAATCATGTTTCACTCATTTCACCAGCCCTCATGAACATATTAACAATAACTGAGTAATAATTGACGCATGGATGGATAGTTCTGTGTGAAACATTGATGACTGTACCCACATAACTATCCTATTACAGTCTCACAATCTATATGCAGTAGGTACAATTATTAATCTCATTTTACCATTTGAGGGAATCGACATTTAGTAAAGTTAAATCACTTGCCCAAGGTCACACAGCCCACAAGTGGCGCTGAAAATGAATCCTTGTCTATGTGGTGCCAAAGCTGAACAAAGAGAATGAGCGATCACTGGGTTCTCAAAGATCGTTAGATTACATTCGTTTTCTCCTCCAACAAACACGCTGTAAATCGTTTTACCCTGCACTCTCCACGATTAGGAAGATAAAGAGCTTTTCTACTCAAATCAAATTATATTCAATAACTACATATTGAGTACTTTTTTACAAGATACTTGGCATATCATGTTTATTTATTAATCATGATTTAAATTCATTTCTTTTCAGAGTTTAACATTCCTTGAATTCAAGTCTCTCAGGGATCATACATGTGGATTACTCTCATGATACTATACTTTCCTTTCTCTTGTGTTTGTTCACATATATACATATAAGTATGTGATTTGTATAAAATGTAAACACAATCTTGACTGTGCTCAGTTAAAATACATTGCTGAGTCAATATAATCCATACATGTTGATGTATAAGATATATCAACTGCATCTTCTGCTTTCATAAACTATCAGTTATTTCCTATTATTCGTTGGTCAAAAATCAGAAATGCCCAACTCAATAGAATGGTCATCTGAGAAAGGTGTGTTTTTTCTTTTATGTCTATGATGGGAATTTCATCCCAGACTATGATGGGAACTTTATCTCAGGATGCAGTACACTGTTCGTATCCCATTAATTTTATTATTCAATAGCAGAAGTGGTCTTTGGATACTGAGTAGCTGAGATATTTACCGGAATGCTACTATTCACCTCATCTAAGTGAATACAGAAGGAAACAGGAGGTTTAACTGAGGAGAGATTTTGTGCCAGGCATACAGATCATTCCCAATCACCTACTCACTTATGTCTCATTATGAATTTGAAGGCGAAATAGCAGTGAGACCAGTTTTCCAAAGCAACTTTCATTCAAAGGTGAATTAGTTCAACAAATATTCCTGAAGTGCCTATAGTGTGTAAAGCACTGTTTTTAGCTGCTTGAGATAAAATAAACAAAAAAGTGTAAAAATACTTTGATGGTAGTTGTAAAAAGAATAGAGAAAAGCAGATACTCATTTGTTAAACATAATTCTTAAAAATGGTACACAAATTGTTCTAACAATGCCTTTGAAATGCTTGGATCTATAATATACATATAACTAACAGATATGGATCTTAAAATAATTTCAAGAACAAATTAAAAATACCACTGCCTACAAGCACACTTAACAAATGAAATAATAGAAAAAAAGCACTTTCCTCAACATAGTCTAAACAATATACTAAAACCAAAAGTTTTTGAGGTCATTAATAGATGTGGAAGTAGTACTTCAAAAGTCAGTTTTGTAGCTCTCTTTGGACAAACTGACGTTTATATACATCAGTTCCTTACTCCAAACTTCCTGCTATCTAGTCTTATTCCATTAAGTGTAAGAATCAGAGACATAATAGTAAGCATGTTTTCTTGATATTGGTTACCCACAACAATGGCTCACTGGAATGAAAAAGAAAGTGGAGACACAAAGCTCCAGGCCCTTGCAAATGACACCCTGCCTTGCCCCATTTCTAACTGCTTGGGCAATTCTGATTAAAATCAGAGATAAGAGGATCCTGAAGCATCCAGTTTCAGGACGATTTAGACTCAACTAGAGTAGGAACTCTTAGAAAATTACATAAACTAGTTCAACCATTGTGGAAGACAGTGTGTCGATTCCTCAAGGATCTAGAACTGGAAATACCATTTGACCCCATGATGCCATTACTGGATATATACCCAAAGGATTATAAATCATTCTACTATAAAGACACATGCATACGTACGTTTATTGCAGCACTATTTACAATAGCAAAGATTTGGAACCAACCCAAATGTCCATCAGTGATAAACTGGATTAAGAAAATGTGGCACATATACACCACGGAATACTATGCAGCCATAAAAAAGGATGAGTTCATGTCCTCTGCAGGGACATGGATGAAGCAGGAAACCATCATTCTGAGCAAACTATCACAAGTACAGAAAACCAAACACCACACGTTCTCACTCATGGGTGGGAATTGAACAATGAGAATACTTGGACACAGGATGGGGAACATCACACACAGGGGCCGGTCGTCGGGTAGGGTATAGGGGGAGGGATAGCATTAGAAGAAATACCTAATGTAAAGGACAAGTTAATGGGTTCAGCAAACCAACATGGCACATGTATACCTATGTAACAAAACTGCATGTTGTTCACTTGTACCCTAGAACTTAAAAAAGAAAAGAAAATTACATAAGCAAATAATTACATTTACTCTAAGAAGTCAAAATCAACATGAAAAGCCCAAAGTTCCCCTGGATTTGCGAAGAAGGGTGTATTAAAATACACTTAACTGCAAATGAAATAAATCAAACTAAACTAACATGGGAGTGGGGGAGTGGGAGGTTGAAGAGGGCTAATGAGTAAGATTTATTTTCAGGTGAATAGCACGGGATCCTAGAAAGAACAGAACTCTTTCTCTCATCTCTGATCTGCCTCATTCTTCTTCAGCAGCAGGTGGCCACAGCTGTGTACCGCACTTGGTGAACTAAAAGATTAGTTTCCAAATTTTCACTGAAAATTCTAGCAACACTATAAACCAGGTCTATCCTATCATAGGCTAGTTCAAAAATTCCAGCAGGGGTGACACTGCCTTCCTAGGATGAATATTTGAAATCTGTGAAGACACTTTTGGTGTCATGGTGACTTGAAGGATTCCTACTGTTATGCAGTAGGAAGAATCCCGAGATGCTGAAAACCCATCAATGTGTGGAATAGTTGTCGACGACTCTGCCCGAAACCTAAGTCCATTTTACACTTTTTTTTAAACAAAATTTAACTCATCTTTGCACAAGTAACTGATTGTCCAGGAATACAACCTTTGTGTAAAAGGAGAGAAACACTGCATTTCGTTTTGTTCAGAAGTTACCAGGAGTTGCTCAGTACTTCAAAAAATACCATGTCACCATGTGGAACACTCTGCAGGAATCTGAATGGCCCACACAACGTTATCTCTGTCTGAGTCTTCAATTGTAGCTTTTGCATTCCCTGTGTCCTAGCACTTACATTTCAAAATGCATAGAATTACATCATAAAATTATTTCCTCTTATTCACTTTTACTTCTCCTTCGTAATTACGTAACATTTTCAAAATTATATGTAAGTTGGTTAGACTATGAAAGCATTTAAAAGAGAATCCAAAAGAGGGCTTTGTAAAAATTATGTGCAAGTTATATTATCAAAGCATTTTATATTCTAAAGGGGGCTAAATAAAAAGTATTTGCCTTAAAATATAGGATATTGGATCCAATAAGGTTAAAATTAGATTATGTCATCCATATTCCAGGGAGAGAGAATCTCACTAGTCCAACTTGGGTCAGGCATTTCACCATCCCCCAAGCAGTTATGGCTAAGTAGCCCAACTCAAGAAGTTAAAACATAGTTTTCAAGAGTCCAGCATTAATGACAAGGCTTAACTGGGAGGCACTTCCAGTTTTTCTGTCATGGAAAATATTCCTGCCTATGAAAAAAAAACACCCCTGGAAGGACCTGCTTGGCTAGCAAATCTGATAAATCAATTAGTGCTTACATATTAATGCTTACAAATGATTTAATGTATTAGCTTTTACCAGTAGTTGTCTATCAGAGAATTAGAAGGAATTTTTCACAATCATTTATTTTAGCACCTTCATTTTGCATTTGTGGTAAATAATTATATTTATGAGAGTTTTTGTTTTTGTTTTTATACATCCCAAACTGCTTGGCTGGTCAAGGTCTTAGAAGTCATGATGCTCTTTATGGCTTCCAAAACTTTCATTTATCAAGCTTAAACACAGAGTGTGTGTGTGTGTCTGTGTGTGTGTGTATGCGTGCATGTGTGGGTGTGTGTGTGTGTGACTAAATAAGAAAGAAACCTTATTTTGCACAGAGAAGCAATAGTACTCACTAACAATTAAAGACAACAAATGGAAAGTAAATGTAAAACTGATAATTGCCAACATTCAATTTTAGTTACAAATTGCATGAGTTTCATGAAAGCATAGTTTGAGAACCACTGTTTTAATTCAAAAACTGATTGAAATAATGGAAGTTTCAGACAATTTGGGAAATATTTTTCCAGATGGTAAGGAGATGAGAGAATCTTAAATCATATTAAATGGGCTGCTTTCTATTTTACCAACCCTTAAAGCATACCTTATGATGCCTAAGAACCGAATAGTCTCTGGATAATCTGAAATTGAAATAAACTTGGTTTACTGTCATCCGTTTCTGAAACCCAACACCAAAGATACGGAAAATAAAAAGAAATTTCTCCCTAAGCTAAGCACTATCTAAAATGGAAGACTCAGAATCAACTACATGATAGAAAGTTTGCAGTAAGAACTCAGCTACAAAAACATAGCTTCCCCAATATTTTGGTATATATCACTTCAAAAGTTGGCTTCAGAAATCCAAAAGGAACATTCTCCCACCTCACACAAAGACGACTCCTTGTGTGACTACCACATGGTAATAACCTTATAAAAAAGCCTAGAAATATGTAGTAAATCACTAGTCCCAGTAACTTGTTACCATTTACTTCATTATTTAACGTGTGTTTTAATTCTGTATTTGATCCAGTAACCAAAACAGAAGACTAAAAGAGATGGTGCTATTTCCACCAATTTAAAATTCTGGTCAGACACCAAATATTGCCAAATATATATTAACAAGGATGTAATAAATATCTAACCTGGATCCATGATTTGGTAGAGAACATTAGTAGATATATAAAACATAGACAATCCATAATCCTCATTGTTTTTACTAATTATATTTTGCACATTTCAGATAGTATGGAGTCATTACAGAATATGTATTTAAAAAACGAGAACTAGAAAAAGTATAGCAAAATCATTATGGGTTGCAGTTGCCAGCGAAAAGCTCCTTTTTAAATTTTTATTTATTTATTTATTTATTTATTGAGACAGAGTCTCACTCGGCAGAGTGCAACGGTGCAATCTCAGCTCACTGTAACCTCCACCTCCTGGGTCCAAGTGATTCTCCTGCCTCAGCCTTCCCAGTAGCTGGGATTACAGGCATGGGCAACCACACCCAGCTAATTTTTTGTATTTTTAGTAGAAACGGGGCTTCACTGTGCTGGCCAGGCTGGTCTCAAACTCCCGACCTCAAGTGATCTGCCTGCCTTCGCCTCCCAAAGTGCTGGGATAACAGGCGTGAGCCACCATGCCCAGCCAAAAAGCTTCTTTAAAAAGACAGTATGGTAGTTCTTACATAAACTCTATTTATAACAGAGTATATTTTTCTTCTTTCATAAAGATTCAGGAAAGTCATAAAATACCAACCTGGATAATTTTTTTAAAGACACATTATAATAAAATTGAAGAACATTAAAAACTAAAAGAAGGGATTAACATCTGGTTTCTCATTTGCAACATGAGAATCAAGACAGTGTAATACTTTTAATATCCTAAGAGAAAATACCTGTTCATCTAAAATTGTATACCCAGAAAAAAATTCTGAAAAGCTAGAGAAAGAAAACGACTTTATCAGACTATCAAGAAAACTGAGTTTGCTACTACCATACGTACCTCAAATAAAAGGGAAGTAATTTCTGGGATTAAACATAACTCATGAACTAAAATGCCAGAAATAAAACCCAATATATTAGATATTACAATAAACGTAAATAAGCTAAATGCAGTAAATAGGCAAAGCATTATCCAAACGGATTTCTAAAATCTAACTATATGCTGCTTTCCAGATGTATCTAAAATCTGAATATACAAAAAGGTTCAAAATAAAAGAATGAAAAGAATACTTATGAGAAAAACTAGCCAAAATAAAGCTGGATAATGCTATAGTGATATTCGTAAAAGCTGATATAGCTATATTAAAATCAGACAAAATAAACTTTATGGCAGACATCATTAGCAGGGATGAAGAAAGTCATCACCTATAAGTTTTAATTCACCAGGAAAATATAATTTTAAACTTATATGTATCTTATAACATAGTCTCAAATATATAAGGCAAACATTGAGAAAGCTACAAAAAGAAATAAATGCAGTATCTAAACAAAATTTTAACATATCTCTAATTTGTAGTTTAAACAAACAAAATAGAAAGATTATGAACAATTAAAACAGCATAAATAATAAACTTAATCTAATGGACATATATAGGAATTAATCCCCAACAAGTGAAAACATACACACTCTTTTCAAGGAAACTCAGAATATGTACAAATATTTACTTTATACTGGCCCCTTAGCAATTTTCAACAAACTTCAAATGATTGGTATTATGCAGGCCATTTTTTTCCTACCACAATGCAATTTAGTTAAAAGCGTACAATGCAGCTAAATATCCAAAGTGTATAGGAACACAAAAAAAAAGATATATCTATCTCTTCCTAGGACTAGTTTACTGGTCAATAAGTAGGAAATATATAAGAAAAGAAGATGTATTTCAGACAAGTACTTATGCAATATTACAACAGAGGGAGAGGAACTGGCATGACTAAGTAGAACTTAGTCGTTCATTGAAGTTATGGTACCGTGTTTGAGTGTGTGTATCTGTATGTGCACGCACATGCACGTGTTCACATAATGAAAAGTACAAAAGAGGGTACTCTTTTCCAGAGAGCCTGGAAATTAGCAAGCTCTGTATCATGGTATATTGTGTTGCGGAGTGTGGATTATAACGTAAGCAATGGGAAATGACAATGAATTTCAAACAAGTGAAGGACACATTATTTTATTCATAAAGGGAAATCTGAAAGTATGGGATGTGACTTGCTTGGAGACTGGCTGGACAGAGGGAAAGTAGATGAAAAGTGTCAGGAAACCAGGTGGTTCCTTAATAAAGAAGAATGTGTCTCTGGAGAATCATGAACAGGTCTTGCCTCCTAGAATCTGCCACTTTGCAAATTACATTTTCTTACGAAATACCTCACTACCTATTGCTATCACCAGGCATCTTTAGTTAGATTTTGCAATCCCATGCCTGCTTTGATCTATGCACATCTACATTGCCTTACTCTTACTAGTCCACATTGTAACCCCCATAGAACAGCTAAACGCAGCTATGATGACTAAGTAACTTCTACTGAAAGACTAAGATAACAAGGATAAAATAATTACAAAGACGTCTAAGCAACATATTTACAGGTAACTAACAAACTGAGTACATTGAGTACTAATATGCAGCTCAGAAATTCAAATATCTTGGCCTGTCTTCCTTGAAATCCTTCGGACCTACCTACCTACCTCCCTACTTACTTAGCTGGCTCACTGTGTAAGCATACTGTCTTTGGGCCACCTCACAGGGACAGAGCTGTCAAATTCCCAGAGGCAGATAATATTTTTGACTATAAGAAATCTGACCAAACTGTCAAAAATACAGAAAATCAGCTAAGGAGATTGTTAAGCATAACTCATGGCTCCGCAAGAGTGTAACTCAAAGATTTCATCAAGATAGAAAATCAAAATTGATCATTATTATCTCCAAATAATCTGTGGTTCTTTTTTCACCAAACTGAACATTTTAGTCATCATCAGCAGCAGCTACTATGAAGTTTAACTTCCAGGAGCCATCTTTTTCTCATTTTTGAGGGTGCCCTTAGGCATTTTTAGAGACCTCTAAATCCCTCTGCATCCAGCATCAGGCCCACCCTTGGTGTCCCAGTTTCCACTCTTTCCCAACTTATTCTAAAATGACTTGTGAAACTTTAAGAGAGAATACATAAATCCCTTCACGTTAATTCCAAACCCACCCTGAACACTAGAGCTACATAACAGTAGAATTCACTATAATATGGCCAGCCTCACTGCAAGAAATACATACATATGTCTTAGGATAAAACAGATTAGAAAAGGTGAGGACTTGGTCTAGGGTTCTAACAGAAGGAAAAAAGCAGACTATACAGTGTGATGGTCTTAATGACCAGTTGGATGTACGGAATGATGACAAGGGATAAGTAGAGAACGATCTTCTGAGCTCCAGCTTGGATGACAAAATGAATGGTGAAATACTAAACAAGACGAAGAACATACGACAGGAGGGGCACACTTGACAGAGAATGAAAGGTGTGCTCCATTTTGTTAGATCAGGGTGACTGCAAAGCATCCAGGTAAAGATTTCTAGCAGATTGCTGGAAATAGGAGAGGTGTGCATGTAGCCCAAGAGAAAGGTGGGAGGTGCCCATACATAACCGGGCATCATCACCCTGCAAGTGAAAGTAGAAACCACATGAGTAGATAAAAATGTCTATGGAGTATATGTAAAGAGGGAATAGAAAAATACCATAGACAAAATCCCATACAAATTTTATGTATAAACAGAATTTGTGTTTTTCTCGTGGCATACACAAACGAGCTATTAAATGATTCTGAGAGTGGAAGATCAAATAGGTAAATATTCATATAATGCATATACATAGAAAATATTTTGAAAGTTAAATTCTTGCTAATAATTCAATCATGCACATACCAGAGAGTTCTAAGCATTACACCAACTAATACCACAATGAATCACACGTCTTATAATGTAAACTTTAGACATTAGATTACTTAAAGAGGAAACAACATCAGTTAAGTCAAATGTTCTTTTGGGGTAGAAACATAATGTTTATTCTGTTTATTTTTGATTTATTTGGAGTCATTCTTTCTCTTTCAAGCTATAAACTGCTGTTAACATTCTCAAATTGTAGTTGATGTGTTTTCTTATTATTTTTATTCATTCGTACTGTGACACTGTTCGTCAATAAGACAACGGGAAAAAATGAGATTTCAATTGTTTGGATTTTGATGGCATTGCACATGTTGCAAAACACTGAAGTACAACTCCACAACTCTGAATAGGCACAGAGTTTACAAATAAGATGGATGGTGCATCTCACTAAACATCAGAAAGCTGAGACTGAGAAGACAAAAAATTACACTCTGAGCATGTTCACAGATAATTTTCACAATTATAGAAGTCTATGAATGTCAAACCAATATACAGCACTATTTAATTGTTTGAGACAGCATGTTATCATAAAATGCTGAAACTTTACTATGGCTTAAATCGTATCTTTCCAGAAGTTTCTGAAATTCACTTTGAGTCGAAATATGGAACAGATGTTTGAAAAAAAAGTCGATACTTGCAGATGTTAAACATTTTAAAGTCAGTTGTGTTTTTATTTGTTATACATTAAGAGCTATTAATGTTTTAGGAAATAAATGAAACAAATACGTATGTAATATATTCATCTTTATAAAATGAAAGCAGGTTTGTATTGTAATTGGACTCAGAAGCTCTTAAAAGATCTTCAGTTGTCCTTGCCACAAGCCAAAAATATGTTTAGCTTAATCCACCTGTGTATTTCACACACTGTAATTACTAAATGTTCATAATTTCTCCCAGGGATGATTTAATAATGAGGAGCTTTATCATTAAGACACGACACTGTGCACAGACCTGATTATTCATGGAACTATGACTGAGGCATCGACTTTAAGAAACTTGATGAGATGAAATACAATATATAAAAGTAACTGTCTCTGCTGCCTAGAACAAGCACCTGATGAAAACATTGATTTTTATAAAATAGATTTGAAAACTTTAAACACAATGTTGATTAAAATAGCTCATTTATTTTTAACTTTTTCTAAAATAATGTCTCTGCCCTAGACCAAAGTAACAGACAACAGAAATACAGAGATTTAGAAATACAGGTGATGATTCACTACAAAGGCCAAATTTGAGAGCAATAACAAAATAATCATTTAAGACAGAATGCCTTAGAACAGGTAGAGGTGTTAACCTAAGTATTAAATATCAGTCTTTTACTTTAGGTATATAGTGGGTTTCATTTTGTGGCACACGAGTTCACCAATTACACAACTATCGTAGACAAATGAAGTCATGCAAACAAAAACTGGATACTCACAGCACAGTTAAGCTTTATAATCTTCGTAGCTCTTGATAAATTTTTGAAAAATGCAGGCTGGGCATGGTGGCTCACACCTGTAATCCCAGCACTTTGGGAGGCCAAGGCGGGTGGATCACCTGAGGTCAGGAGTTCAAGACCAGCCTGGCCAACATGGTGAAACCCGTATCTACAAAAATACAAAAATCAGCCAGGCGTGATGGCGGGTGCCTGTAATCCCAGCTATTCAGGAGGCTGAGGTGGGAGAATCGCTTGAACCCAGGAGGCAGAGGTTGTAGTGAACCGAGATCGTGCCACTATACTCCAGCCTGGACAACAGAGCAAGACTCCGTCTCAAAAAATAAAAAAAAATGCATAGTTATAAGTTGTTCAGAAGAGATGTGAAATACTGAGGCACATCTACTGAAACATGAAAATAATTAAGAGTATCTAAAAAGGATTTTAATAATTTTAACTGTATAAACATTTATTACCACTAATTCTTTATGAAAGCATAATAATAATTTCAAAAGTCAAAAATATTATGAGGCTAGGAATTAAAGATACAGGTATTTGTTGGAGATGGACCACAAATCTGTTCCTAAGGTAAAGGGGAACTAATTTAAAGTAGAAAAACACTATTGATTTTATGGTGGAAAAGATTTATAAAATTAAATGTAAATCAGTTGCTTAGGAGTACAACTAATTCTAGTAGTAAGAAGAGATAGAATTTCTCTCTCATGCATCCCATGTTGGGGGAGAGTTTGAAGGCTAGAACATGATTCAAGAAATCTTGAGGTAAGCGATTTATTTCCTTGAATTAGTTTCTCCTTCTGTTTTGGATTTTAAAAGCCCTCAAATACTCTGAGTAAACACAGACTTTGGAATCACAATGATAACAGCGTTTTCCCATTCATGACATTGATTTATTGTATCATGTTTCACAAAAATGTTCTCACTCATGGCAGCTGAATTGGTTGCTTCTACCCAAGAATGGAAAGAATCAAAGGGTCTTTTATCTTAGGTAGATAACATGTATTTTTCTAGCCATTCTAAAGAAAGATGTGAGTTTAAAAACATGTGTGGAAATAAGTTAGATAATGATAATGTGTGAGTTAGTAATTAAAGCATTGCATGCCTCCAGCAAAGACAAATATTTAGTAGGCTCTTAGCTCTTATAGATTTAAAGTTTGCATTTTTAACTATTTTGAAGTAAACCGGAATGTGCATGAAGAGATGTGAAGTGTTGAGGCATGTCCACTGAAACATTATGCAAATAACCAACAAATATCAACCAACGGTAATTTGACCCAAAACTAAAATAAGTCACTATGAATAAGGATACTAGTTAAAAAAAAAAAAAAAAACTGTAATGTGAACCACTACTTTGCAACAAGATTAAATACTATGATGGTAGCTCAAATACTGTCACTCTTCTTGGAAATTAGAGTATTAGAGAAACTCAGTGAAAAATCTCTACCATCAGACGTTCTTTAAGATTTCCCTGGAATTTTGGCCTATGTATAATAGCACAGGATTTGGAAATAGAGGACATGAATTTAAGTTCTTATTCTACTATCTGTTAACCTTGTGATCCTAGGCATTTCACTTGATTTTTCTGAGTCTCCATTTTGGTACCCATAAAATGAGAAGATAATATTCAGCAGAAAATCTTGTTTTGATGTTCAAATGAAGAATTATTTGCAGAATGAAAGGAACTATATAAACTATATCAATGTGAAAATAATTTCCTTTGAAGAAGATACAAAAACGTCATTTTTGAGCCATAGACTCTGAGCCCTGGAAGACAATTCGAGATCAACTGGTTGTGAGGTTTTTACCTTCCATTCTTCAGTCTACAGTTCTTGCCATGGTCCCAGAGTCAACTGCAGAGGCCAAAGGCAAGTATGGAGAGATTCCTCAGACTGTCTTGAACCAAACTTCCCTTTCACTGCAGTTAAATGTTAGGTTGTTTCGAAGACATTGGACAAATTCTTCAACTGTGGCTAAAAAATGATTATGACAAAACCCTTTCAAAAAATCTAATCCCCACCGTGCAATGCTTGAGAATCCCTTGGCCAAGAAGGTTTGAGGGACATCCCCAAGGTGCCACTACTGGTAGACGGCAGAGCCAGGGTTTGAACAATGTCTCCCAAGTACTACTCTAACCAGATCAGCACCTTTTCCACTGCACAAATGAATTTCCTCAAACACTACAATCTGTTAGATTTACAGTGTGAGCTTTAGTACTTTGCATGCTTCTGAATTCTAACTGCTTCTGAGCTCCATTTTAGCGTGGGGTGACTGTTGGAATTAACTTCTAAGGCTGAAGCTTTAGCCCCTGTTTCCCTGATGGACATTGCCATGATAATTAAAGCTTTTCTGGCTGGATGCTAAAATCCTCTATTTTTAAAGGTTTCATATGTCAACTTGGCATAGAACACTCTAGATAACCTATTTAATACCAGCAAAGTGGTATAAAGTTTTCTAAAATCTAATTGTGGCTTATCATATTTTTCAGTCAACGTACAAACATGTTGTTTAGGAGCCTCAAGAAAACTCTCAAGGCAATTTGGAACAATTTTTAATTTTTAGAATGTGAGGCTACATAATGCTCTTGGAGGGGTGGTAACCTTAAATTTGCTCATTCTGTGGTTAGCATAGAAGTCTCTCATCAGTTTCACTGAGAATATAGATAAACCCATGTTTCTAGACATTTGCCAAGAAAAAGAAGAGACTTTGAGTAAAATAAAAACTTTGGATGTTAATATATTCTTTTTTTTTTTTTTTTTTTTTTTTTTTTGGAGACAGGTTCTCACTCTGTCACCCAGGCTGGAGTCCAGTGGCAAGATGTCAGCTCACTGCAACCTCCGCCTCCCACCTTCAAGCAATTCTCTCGCCTCAACCTCCCGAGTAGCTGGGAGTACAGAAGCACACCACCACATTCTGCTAATTTTTGTATTTTTAGTAGAAACAGGGTTTCACCGTGTTGGCCAGGCTGGTCTTGAACTCCTGGCCTCAAGTGATCCACCTGCCTTGGCCTTCCAAAGTGTTGGGATTACAGGCGTGAGCCACCATGCCCGGCCTAAAATGACGTTTATAGAAAATGTGGTAGCTTACTTCTAGTCACAGAGAGTTTTAGAAGCTAAGAATTTTATCACAAACCAAGCACAATTCTCAACAAATAAATGCACAAATCTTTACCTTGACATGTAAGCATTTACTCATTTAAACAGTTACCAATTTAAATGCATATTCTCAAAAATTCATAGAGAATTTGAACAAAAGTAAACGGTCATTTTCCTTAGTAACTTAAAGTTGTAAGCTCTGCCAAATTGTATTTTAGCTGAAATTCTGAGACAGCATAAGAAACAGCGCACTAAATATTACATAAATGTCCCAAAAACAGATGTGGATTTATTATCTTATAGCAGTAAGCCATCTCGTGTAGCTATGATTTTGAGTTCATAAATCTTAAAATATTCTTTTTTACTGGGCCTTCAACATTTGATGTATTTTCAATTGGTAAACTCTGGAGATCAGCAAAACTGTAATAGCCAGTATGTAGGCTGGAACATATGCTAAGTAATGACAGTAGACCACTGAAGAGTTCTAAAATAGTCATTTGTCCAACTTCCCACAAATGTATTTTTCTTAATTCTTTTTCCACTCATATCAAGTATGTTCCCTCATCCCTCTTAATGGCATAAGTGATGTTTCCCTACTGTAACTTGAATTTCAACTTCAATTAAACAACTTTATTTCCAAATATTAAAAATTCAAGATTATATATATATGGGTATATATGTGTGTGTATATATATACATATATATGTGTGTGTATATATATATATATGTGTGTATATATATACATATATATGTGTGTATATATATACATATATATGTGTGTATATATATACATATATATGTGTGTATATATATACATATATATGTGTGTATACATATATACACACATATATATATTTCAAAATAGCTAATAGGGTACATTTCAAATGTCTCAGCACAAAAAATGAGTGATGTGATTAATATAGTAATTAGCTTCCTTTAATTTTTTCCACATTATAGATGTATAGTAACATCACAGTATAACCCATAAATGTATACAGTTGTAGTTTATCAATGTCAAATGATATTAATTTTTCAAATTAAGGTTACCTGTTTCTAAGTCTTTGTGACTAGTTGCTATTTTGTAAAGTGAATTGGAACTAGACCTAGAGGGAAAGAAGTTATGATTCCTTTAGATGTGAAACAAGTCAAATAATTCAGTATTCACAAATATGTTTCATCTTTCTCAGCCAAGAAATGAATATATAAGGCAGGCTGCTAAAAATATGCCATTTGTTAGAGAGTACTATTTTTCACTATAGAATGACTAACATAACAAAATACCACCTACTTAGATTCATCAGAAAGCTTCCTACACTGCAGCAAGCTTGACTCTCCTGGGCTGAGTGTCTTATTGATTAAACAAACCAAAAAAAAAAAAAAAAGAAAGAAAGAAAAAAATAGAATTCTTTTAAGTGCCAACTCTCTTATTTGATTTAAATTGTAGATGAATGTACTATGACATTGCTTTAAGACCTCAGCATTTTTTAATCAATCTCTTGTTTAAATACCTATGTATTTTTTGCTGTATTATCATTTCTCACCCATATAATACTTTTTTAATGACCTCATTATATTATTTAGGGAAGGTTTTTCCTCACCTATCTAGGGCAAGATTCAAGTTCTTGGTAGATGAAATGTTGATTCAATTAAGCAGAGAAAAATGAAGCAACAGTGACTGGACTACATTTAATAAACTCAAATAAGTAAGATTATCCTTATTGAAAAGTTGTTTTATGTGTCTCAAGATTAACTATGTAGTTTGTAATTTTTGTAACGTGCAAAATAATTAAGAAAATATTCCAGAAGCATACCGTTCATGTTCTGCAATTAGCAGAAAAAAACTAATTTAACTTCCAGCCAGTCATCCCACTAACAGAACAATCCTGACAGATAAATAAATAAAATCTAGGATCTAACTTGACTGAAAAAAATTATATTATACTCATGATGTATTTTATATTTTTGATCTCAAAGCAAATAACAATTATCCACAAATAAATTCTTAGCATCTGAAAGCATGACTTAATTGCCAAATTAATACAGGTGAATTAGTACCCATATTTTAAAAGATGAGTAAAAGAATCAACAAAGTCATAGACTTTATTATAACTGTTTATTCAGCCTCAATGTCTCCTATGAGTAAATCTTACAAAAAGCAAAATTTAAAGTGTCAGCTCTAAAACTTAGTCATCTCATTTCCAGTGCATAAGATCAGTTGTTTAAAAGAGAGCAACGATGGAGCTAAAATAAAGGCTAAAGCTAGCAGTTAAATCTCGACTGCTAAAAGGCACCCAGTACTCTATAACTCAGAGATACTCCAGGATGGAGGGGGCTTTTTCTAATATCAATATTCATTAACACCCACATTTCCAAAGCAGCAACCCATATTTTGGATTTTTTGATGTTTCTTCTTTAAAGTAAACACCAGGGCAAAATCCAGAGTAAAGTTTATACATTCATTGGAGAGAGAAACAGAGATCAAAGGGAAAAGAACACACACATTCTTTGGATGAGAACTCTCTCCCTTTTCAACACTGATGTGTTTCATCAGGAGTTTGTGGGCAGAATAGAAGATGAAACATACTTACCTTCATTAGCAAGTTTTACACACATAACTGTATTTCAGTTTTCCATCAAATAAATCCTTTAACATGCATATTGTTTAGTTTTAATGATAATGGCAGCAATAGCTTAACAATTAGAGCTTATCTTTAGTTTAAAAGCTTGCAAAAGAAAACACTATTGACACTGCACAGCACATTTTAAAAAACCAATGTTTGCACACCCAGCACAGCAAAAAATAAAAAAATTGTTGTTAAAATCTCAAAGAGAAAATAGTTTATCCCAAATAAAGATAAATTATCAGAATCTTTCTTTCTTAAAACCTGAGGTAAGCAGCTTCACCTAACAATGACACTGATCATCTAAAACTAAGCTAAACTATATTTTTATACTTTTATGCACATTTATTTATGTATCAAACCCCAGTAAACATTTTTTGTATATTTAAAGCATCATAAAAACCAAAGTTCTGTGTGGATGTGTTTTAATGTAAGCATTATTAGATGATAAGAAAAGTCAAAACATGCAAATAATGCCAAAAACAAGTATCCTAGCTTTTTTCTTCCCTCTCTCCACTGATCACACCGGGAGGCTCTTCAGCAAGAAGCCACCAGAGACTAACTTGAACTGGAATGTCTAGGAAACCAAGCCAACCAACTCCGCTAAAAACAAGAAATCTAGACAAGTTATTCCACGCGCACTGCATCCATCTCTACAAACTGTATATATTTCAGAAGGATTCCACAGCCTTCGTATTCCACAAGTGTAGTCAAAACTGCCAACATAAATTTATTCCCAAAACTGGAGGATCTCAAACATTTTCTAATAAGGCTTGACTACATCTCCTCACTTGCCAGTTTTGACCCTCAAAAGTAGCTTGTCCTTGACATAATTTCTCAACAACCTCAATAGATCCTTGTATCTAACATGCCTTCATTTCTTCCCAGTCAGTCATTGCCAATATACCCCCTCATGCCCAAACCTTTCCAGTTCCCTACCCTCTGCTGCCAGAGCACTAAGTCCAGTACACTCTGGCTATGAGGATCTCTGGATTATCTGTGCAGGAGTAGTGACATTAAGCTGAGATCTTCTACTAATTCTAGACATAAGTTTCCCCAGTGGGTTTGCTCTTTTGCTGATTTAAACAACAATGTATTGGCACTGGGGTTCAGAGTGGGATAAGCTAGGAAACTAAAGGGATTTCAGGGGAAAGAATCACCCCAAATCATTTCTCCCTTCCATTTCTCTTAACAGAACGCTCTCTTCTGTGTCATACCCTAAAGTTAACCAAAAAATAATCTGGATACTCCACCTCTGCATAAAACACAGATCACAATCATTATCATACATTCTTCTTCGCATCTCAGATAAAACCTACCCCTTCTCCCAAGAGACTGGGATGCTTGGGAAAGAGAAGTAGGGAATCTTTGCAAACATAAAGGCAATGTGTCCTATCGGAGTAGAGCAGAGAGATAAGAGGAAACTTCTAGCCCAGGCCAAGGTCTACTGACTATGATCTTGGCAAAAACACAGAAACTTGTTGGCCAACTTTAAACGAAGCATCAAATCTGCCTCCTCCCTACTTCCCTTTGCCCAGGGAACTCAGTCTTCGGTGGAAGTGGTGTTCTAGGTCTTCTCACTGTCCTCCCTCCGTCCTGGACTGCATCTACAGTCAGTGGCAGGGCGATTCTGGCAGGCGCCACTGTTCTCTGTCCCTCCTTCCTTCCCCGTCTATGCAATCTGGGGCGCCTGGAGAACTGGGCTCCTGCGTGCCCCCTGGCCAGGGCACAGGACAGGCTGCAGACAGAGGCTTTGGAGCTCTGCAGGGGATTTTGCAGCCTGCCTAGCTTGTCGGATAAACCCATTTCCTTGACATTTCAGGGCAAACCTCTATTCGTCGTTTCTCCAGCGGGTGGGGGGGTGCCTAAACATTCTCACTGATCAAAGAAGCCAGAATCCATCTGAACCTCTGAAATAGTAGAACGTACCAAATGCCTAGGGGTAAAGAAGGGTGGAGGATTTCAATAAAAGAGGTGCTTCCAGTGTCGCCCCCTTTCCCGCTTTTTCGTTTACGGTGAGCGGGACATTTAAAGTATTTTGTGGTTTGTTGGTTTTTTAAAGTTTTTATTTATTGTGTGTATATAAATATATATATTTTTTTTTCTTGAAGGGAAGCAGGCAGAGGTGCCCATAGGCAGAGGGGCGCGTTGTCACCCCGGATGCTCCCTCCGGGCAGGCCCTCACGGCCAAGCAGGGGACCCCAGAGGGAGAGGGCGCGGCGCGGGGAACCCGCGGAGCGGCGGGGGGCTCCAGGCTGGTGGGAGACCGTGTGCGGCCGGAGCCTCCGCAGATGCCGCCCCTACCAGCCCGGCTCCCGCCTCCCCGCCCCCTGCCCGAGTCCCCGGACCTGCTCCCGCGCCTGGGGCTAGGGCAGGCTAGCCGTCCCCGGCAGCGGGGGTACCTCTCCAGCCCCTGCACTGCAACTGCGGGAGGAAACACTGCCCGCGGGCGGTGGGAGGGAAAAGGGGTCTCACGAAGTTCTGGGATAAAAACGGGCTGTCGTTGCAGATGCCTCTGTCACGCGAATCTCCGAGCGGAAATGCACTGTCCCCGTGCCGGGCTGGGGCACAGGCGGGATCGGAGCCGGGAAGAGGAGGCAAAGTGGCGGCGCAGCTCGGACAACTTTGCTGGGAAAGCAGGCGACAGCGGGCAGAGCTGGTGCCGCTGCCCCCCCCGGGGAGACGAGCCGGCAAGAGGCGCAGGGTCTGCACCCCAAATGCTGCCGTCACGGACCAGGAGGAGGACGGGGTGGCCGCTGGCGGGAGGAGCAGGCGGGGAGGGCGCCCAGCCCGGGAGTGCAGCCTGGCTCGGGAGAACCACCCTCCGTGTCCTCGGCCCCAGCAGGGGCGCCTGCGCCCGGGTGCGCGTCCCCCCAACGCCCCCTCGTCGTCCCGCGGGACCACCAACTACTCCGCGCCGCTGGAGGAGCCGCGGGAAGGAGAGGGGAGAGCAGGGAGCGCCGAGAAGCGGCCGCGAAGCCCGCCCGGACCCGCACGTACCTTGAGCTCCTCAATGTCCAGGTTCGTTGATCTGTCCATGGAGCGCAACTAAACGAAGTGGAGAGGAACCGGGCGAGTGGCACCCAAAAACAATCTAGTCTTTTAGTTTCCAGCTTAAACTCAGCTTTATCCTCCTCCAAGCCCCGGCAGCTCCTCTCAGTCTCATTCTCCGTGGTCACGCCGCCTCCACCGGGTTAAAAATAAGGAAAATAAATAAATAATAATGATAATTCACTTTATTTTACTTCCTCAAAGATTTAGTGACAGGTGATCTCTACCGCGGTGCAACACAGCTGAGTCGATTGAAACAGGGGCCAAAAGAAAAAAGGAAAAAAAAATCCACTCTATTTAAGATTATTTCTTCTTCTGCAATAAGCTTAGAACCCAGCGAATTGCTGCATCCCGAGAAAAAAAGCTGCTTCCCTGGTCAGCATCATGCGGCAAATTTCAAGCAAATGTGTTCAAACTGAAGAGAAGAGTGTATGATAAAAGGCTTCCTCCGTCAGGCTTACTCTGGTAGGTAATTTAGCTCCAGTCCCAGGCATTAGCAATGATCAGTTTCCCCGGCAAGATAACAGAATCCCCGAAGTCCTGCATAGACTTAAAAAATGTCTTGTAGCTGAGAGGTATTTTCTCAGTGGGGAAAAGAAGATAATCAAGTCAGAAGGGAACGTTCTCCTTTGAAGGTTATGCTAAAAGAGTTGAGGGAATAGGAGGTGGATCCAACGGAGAGAAAAAGAGGGAGAGAAAGAGAGAGGGAGAGAAAAATTTTCCTCCTGCTTCGCTGTTTTACTGGCCTTCACCACCAGGTGACTGACTTCGCTTCTCTCTTCCCACAGCCAACACTAAGGGGATTTCTCTCATCTGTCAAAAAGCAACATTTCCTCTCCAGACAAATACTATCGCTGGGTCTTAAAGCCTGCCCTGTGTCCGGAATCCACTAGGTGACAATCATTTTAATTCATTGCGTACATTGCTTCATCTTCCTGCAGATCTGGGAGGAACATGCTTGTGTGTATCACCCACATGTATTTAAATATACTCACTTCAGATCTCTGCTGCTTTCAGCATCAGATTTTTTAATTTAAAAAAGACTTTTATAGAAAGTGACAGATAAGAATATTAAAGGAAATTTCCTGGAACGATGCTTCTTATGATAAAGCAGTCTTTTATTAGAAAATTGTTCTTTACATAGATTCTGACAGGTCAGTGCATTTAACTTGTAGGTTGTAGATTTGGGGAAAGGGCTCGTTTTCTTCATTTAAATGTCTCAGTGTAAAACTTGACTTTTGAAGCGTTTTAAAGACTCTTGTTTTATTATGACACATAAACTATTGAGACTTAAAGATGTTTACAGATTTGGAAACAGAGCTGTATAAATACTTTTGTTTCAAAAAAAAAGTGTTTCTTTTTTTAGGATTTAATATGCACATTCCAGTCTCATGGTCTCTCTCTAACATCATCTCCGTCCTCTGCCTCCCTGAATTCCAGCCACCTAGTCTATTGGTCCACCTGCCAGTACTGGCTCTTTAATTCCCATTCTTGCCCCCTCGTTAAGGACAGCTGTCTCTCCCCCTAGTTCTTTATAGTTTTAACACTTCTGCTTCTGACTAAAGTCACCTGAGCAGAGAAAAATTTTTCTCAGGTGAGTCTGTCAGATATTCTCCTTTATCCTCTTGTCGTAGCAGCATTCTTAATTTACCATTATTTAATGTATGCTGTTATTATCCGTTTGTTTGTTTGACTCCTCCAATAGACTATAAACTCTTGAAGGCATGTTCTGGACGGTTCTTATTCACCAAATGTCCCAAGAGCCAAGCAGCTAATAAGCACACAAATGTGCATGGAACAGATAAATGTGTGGAAAGAAACCTTTACAGTTAATATTCTAATGTCTGAAACCCTGATGACTCCCCTCCTCCCCTCACCGGCACCAATGGAGCACATCCCAGTTTTTCTCCTTCTACTTTGCAGCTAAGCCTGGAGGGCTCAGCTTTCTCATGGAGGATGTCCATTTCATTAGTTTAAGCCTAGTCTATTCCATGCACTTGCCTAAGCTATCTTTCTTTCAAACTTTGACTTCTGACTACAGCTTTTAAGATTAACATCAAGTAGCCAAAAGTCCATAATGAGTAGGGCCAAACATCAGATTCTCAAAATAAACTTCATGTGCTTATAAGACATAATTATTTTGCATAATATATGATGAAAAATAATAAAGGTTCAGGCTGAGAGTAGATGAACTTATATAAGACTTTTAACTCTAAAAAAGAGCTTCTCTTCTAGAAAGTATCAACAATTCAACATGAACAAAGATAACTACTAGGATGATGCAAAAGTAATGGCAGTTTTTGCCACTGAAAGTAATGGCAGAAAACACAATAACTTTTGCACCAACCTAATACATAGGCTTTTGAAAGTCAAGTCTTTCCATATGAAAGAATTTGAAATTCCCTGTCAACTAGTCATTGCCTAACTTTAGAAAATTGAATAAAACAAGCAAATTTATTTTGAACATATTAGCAAACTGATATTATTTAAGGTAAGTTTTCAATTTGCAGTTGTGAAAATGTAGTTCAAGGAAGGTATCCATAGAAAAATGTTGATGTTTAAATATTATTCACAAAGGGAAAACTGCAGTTTCTTAATATGACATATTATAGTTGAAAGAAAAAATGATATTGTTCTTAATTTTATGTGTGTGTATATATATATATATATATAGACTCTAATTTATCTGTAGTGAATTTTAAAATATGAAATTATATCCAACATTTGATGTTGACCAGACTGGCATTATAAGCCAGTGGTCCCCAAATGATATGGCTTCTGGGTCCCCATAGAAATCTCATCTTGAATTTTCCCTCCCATAATTCCCACATGTTGTGGGAGGGAACTAGTGGGAGATAACTGAATCGTGGGGGTGGTTTCCCCCATGCCCTTCTCATGGTAGTGAATCAGTCTCGCGAGATCTGGCGGTTTTATAAGGGGAAACCCCTTTTGCTTGGTTCCCACTCTCTCTCACCGCCTCCAGGTGAGAAGTGCGTTTCGCCTCCCGCCATGATTGTGAGGTCTCCCCAGCCACGCAGAACCGTGAGTCCATTAAACCTCTTTTTCTTTATAAATTACCCATTATCGGTTATGTCTTTATCATCAGTGTAAAAACGAACTAATACACCAACATTTTTGGCATCAGGGACCAGTTTCATGGAAGACAGTTTTTCCACAGATGCATGGCACAGGATACAGGGGAAGGTTTTGGAATGAGACTGTTCCACCTCTGATCATCAGGCATTAGTTAAATTGTCATAAGGAGTGCACAGCCTAGATCTCTGGCGTGCACAGTTCATAATAGGGGGGTGCTCCCATGAGAATCTAATGCCCCCACTAATCTGACAGCAGGCAGAGCTCAGGTGGTACTGAGTGCTAACCCACCCACCACTCCCCTCCTGCTGTGTGGCCTAGTTCGTAACAGGTCACAGATGGTCAGGGGCTTAGGAGACCTCTGACATAAGCGATAGAAACAATTAGTGATTTCCAAATCAATTCCATATTTGGGTGCAATTACATGTCTATAAAGCGAGTGATTTCCAAGTCTATCACTATTTCATGAACTCCCATGCAAACTCATTAGGCTGAATATTTCTAAAACCAAAAACAATTACAGTTGATCACAAAAGTAAGAATTGCCAAAACATTTATATGACCTTTTAAGACAATCAGGACTCAGTTCCACTTCATCTGACATACGACTAGATGGCACAACTTTCAGAAAATTGAATCACTTTAAAGACATTTGAAATGAAGGCAATGGAAGGACGAGGAAGTGAATTGAGGAAAGGAGTATTTTCTAGATGTCCTGAGTCACAACTTCAGGACAAAGACAGCTACCCATGGCTGTGGAGGAAATCGTGCTGGCATATAGCAGAGTATGTGAAAGCGGCAAGATTCAGTTAGCAAACATGTACAATTCACAGGCAAACTGCAAGAGTAATTACACCTCCTGAGCAAGGGGAAGGAAGTGTGGAAACACCTGCAGGTCATGAGATGTTACATTTCAGGATCATTGGTCCATAGATACGTTCATCAATGTCGCCTATCATCATAAAGTATTAAAGCAAATGTACCCCTGTCTCTATGAGTTTTTTTTTTCTTTAACTGATTTACAGAAGTGGGGAACTTGTACATACATATCCTTTTTTCCAGTAGACAATATAATTCTTAATAATCTATGGCTTAAAAGCACTTGAAGAGTTTCAAATTTTGTAGGCCTTTTTACTCCCCTTGTCTAACTCTCTTGCCAAGTTTACAATTTTATGCATTTATGTGGATTTCCATACTGCACTATATCACATGACCATATTTTATTTCTATTTTCTGAAATCATTAAACAGAGAATTAATGTATCATGATTCATTAAAATAAATAATTCACATAGTTGTCACTAGTTTATTTCTAGTGATTAGCATTTGTATCCTCCATATGATCTAAATTCTTGCCTCAGAAAGGGATTATTTCTTAGAAATGTTACTATATATTCCATGAGGTTTTTAAAATTACATACTAAAAAATGCTGAAATACAAATTGTTGCGTTGTTTTTACTTTTAATGAGTAAGATAGGTAATTGTTAATATGTGAACAGATGAGGAAACACAAATGACCCATTAACATTGTGATATAGTTATAAAGGGTATCCTTTGGCCTTTCTAAAAAAAATGATCACCTGTTATAATACAGATGTACATTTTTCTTTTAAAAATGTTTAAATTAACTTTCCAAAAATTTGAAACTGGAAGCATTTCTCTCTTTCCTTTATAAATTTAATGGACAAAAATTTTGGCAAATGTATATTTTTAGTTAAAAATTTTAACCAGCTACTTAGCCATATATGATTTCAAAGGCAGCTCAGGCATGAGAATACATATCTTTGTATAGCATAGATTATAATGGTCTATAAAAGATAATGGGGATCTGTTTTTCAGAATTTAAAGAGAATAGTGATTAACACTTCCAGTCTTAGACCCATCCCAAAAAACCTTTATTTGTTTATGTGTTTATTTATTTATTGACACAGAGTCTCACTCTGTCACCAGGCTGGAGTACAGTGGTGAGATCTTGGCTCACTGCAACCTCCACCTCCAGGGTTCAAGTGATTGTTGTGCCTCAGCCTCCCAAGTAGCTGGTACTAGAGGCCTGTGCTACCATTCCCAGCTAATTTTTGTATTTTTGCTAGAGACGGGGTTTCACCATGTTGGCCAGGATGGTCTCGATCTCTTGACCTTGTGATCCTCCCACCTCGGCCTCCCAAAGTGCTTGGATTGCAGACGTGAGCCACCATGCCCGGCCAAAAACCATTATTTATTGGAGTTCAGAGTCATGAACATTGCTAATTATAGTTTGAAGATTTAAAAATAACTACCCCCGCCCGCCGCCAGAAAAGCTAAACTTCTTGCAGAGTGTAAGAACAAGTCTATACACACACTGCAAATAGCATGATGGAAACTTGAATTAAAGTAATAATAAAAAATAAAGTAATAATTAAAATGAAAGAGAAGCATGCAGCCCACATCAAAAAGTATCACATTGCAAATTTACAAACACAAATAGGAAAAAATTGTCAAATGTCCAGAAATATTTATCTCTAAAACTCCAACCATACACCAAATAAAATATACCTCTAAAGAATTTTTATGCACCTTCAGGTGAATAACTTTACTGTTAGACCAGCCTGGCCAACATGGTGAAACCCCATCTCTACTAAAAATAAAAAAAAATAAAGCCAGGTGTGGTGGCACACGCCTGTGGTCCTAACTACTTGGGAGGCTGAGGCAAGAGAATCGCTTGAACCCGGGAGATGGAGGTTGCAGTGAGCCAAGATCGCACCACTGCACTCCAGTCTGGGTGACAGAGTGAGAGTCCATCTCAATAATAATAATAATAATAGTGGGCCGGGCACTGTGGCTCATGCCAGTAATCACAGCACTTTAGGAGGCTGAGGCAGGTGGATCAGTTGAGGTCAGGAGTTCAAGACCAGCCTGGCCAACATGGTGAAACCCTATCTCTACTAAAAAAAAAAAAAAAAAAAATAGCTGGACATGGTGGCATGCACCTGTAATCCCAGCTACTGGGGAGGCTGAGGCAGGAGGATCACTTCAACCTGGGAGGCAGAGGTTGTGGTGAGTCGAGGTCATGCCACTACACTCCAGCCTGGGCAACAGAGCAAGACTGTCTCAAAAAAAAAAAAAATCAAACAAAAAAACAGCAACAAAAAATTGTGATCTTACTGTTAGAAAAAAGGAAAGATTTTTTATCCCATTTTCATGCTGACTGTATAAGTTGGCTCGTTTCTGTTTAATATCAGCTTGATTGTTCAGCAAAATTAATCTCTATAATAGGCTTAATATTAATTTTTTTTGAGACTAAGTCTCGCTCTGTCTCCAGGCTGGAATGCAGTGGTGCGATGTCAGCTCACTACAACCTCTGCCTCCCAGGTTCGAGCGATTCTCCTGCCTCAGCCTTCTGAGTAGCTGGGATTACAGGTGCCTGCGACCATGCTCAGCTAAACTGTGTATTTTTAGTAGAGACGAGTTTTTGCCCCTTTGCCCAGACTGCTGTTGAACTCCTGACCTCAGGTGATCCACCCATCTCAGCCTCCCAAAGTGCTGGGATTACAGGCATGAGCCACTGGAATTTTTTAAACTAACCTTTTGAAAGGAAATTACTTTTCTGAGAATATTTTTTATTTTAGCAGAAGAACCTAAAACCATTATGTCATCCCCCAACACGTGCAGAAATGATAAACCAATGCAATAACAACAACAATAACATCTTCATGAACTGTAAGCCTTTCCACGGGTTCTACCGGCATCAGTCCTGCAAGAAATGGAGTAATATGAGGGGCAGGACTGAGATACGAAGACAGAGGGGAAAAAACTGTAACTGATTCTAAAAGAAAGATCTTAATAGCCAGGAAGAACTGAAACTAGTATTGGCTTTGAGTGGAGTACTTTTGCAGCAGCAAAAATAAAGTCTAAGGAATTTGCAAGAAAAATACTTAAGGCGATTAAATTCTAAAACAGTACTCTTGCTTTCAGTTGTCTTCTATTTTGGAAATTTTCCTAGTCTGAGGATGACAATAAATGATAGCATAAAATAGAAAATGATTTCTGTTTCTGGTCTGTTTATTGGCACATGATTTTTATTTGAAACTTGTTTTTAGGCAGTTAGTTAATGGGACATCTCTCCTTACTCCCATGCCTGCATTAAATAAAATAAAATAAATGAAATGAAAAAGGAATAAAAATATGTTTAATAAATTAATCTCTTATGATTTACTTTTAAGTTATTGATTAAATATAAAATTGAATTCTAAAGAAGATGCCATAAGTAGATAATAATAATGAAATTTTTGATGAGTCTTTTTCAGCCCTGTCTTATTTGGGGGAGTGGGGTGGGATAGGGTCCAAAAACTTGCCAAACTTAAATGTTAAGACTGTCTGTTGGTAGTCAGTTTCTTGTCATCATCAATATATACTATTGCCATGGACATTTAGTAATGTTGACAATTTTCTCTAAGAGAATTTTATTCTTTTGGTAACTGTTAAATATTCTTATTGTATATGAAGTTCTTTGAAATCCTCCCGGGACATAGAATGAAAAGTAAAAGACAAAAGTTACAATATTGTGTTTTGTAAAACTGTCATTGACTCACTTATAAGTGGAGCTAAACAGTGGGTATGCGTGGACCTACAGAGTGGGATGATAGACATTGGAGACTCCAAAAAGTGTCAGGGCGAGAAGGAGGTGAGGCTTGAAAAATTACATATTGGTTACAACATTAACTATTCAAGGGACAGATTCACTAAAAGCCCAGGCCTCATCACTTCACAATATATGCATGTAAGATGTCTGTACCTCTACCCTCTAAATCTATAAAAATGAAAATACTGTTAAGAAAATTGGAAGAAAAAAAAACACTCTCATTGACTTGCTTAAAAAAAAAAGTCAGAAAGGCAAAATGAAGGATCATGGAGCTGTGAGTTGCCTGGGATCATCTACCTTGCATGACAAACTATGGTTACTTCCAGTGGTCACAAATCGCTTCATGAGCCGTGGCGACATGGAAGCCCCATGCAGCGTGATACTGCCTGGGTTCCATTCCCACTCTGCCCATTGGTGACTATTTTGAGAAGATCGAGTTAGGGAGCATGTATTTGAGTTTTTTAAAGCCTAATTATGTGTGACAATTTTGTTCCATAAACTGATACACTGTTGATATTGACCTGAGGGTACCTGCCCCACAAACTGCAGCCTGGCTAATGCCTTACATCAGAATCACAAGCAGTTTCCTAAAGAGCTCAGGAACATCTCTCTTTGTCTTAATTAACAATCAAATGGGATATGTTTTGGCAAAAACTTCTAGGCAGGAAAGAGTTCATTTCCACCATGTGGCATTGTGGCTTCTTTCCTTATTAACTTTTTTTTTCTTTCTTTCCTTATTATCATTAAACTTTTCCTGCTCTGAATGCAGTCAGCTCTACCTCCCTAAGATTTGACTTTTTTTTCCTGGTGCTCCTCAAACTATATCAAGACTACAAACTTGATACGGTTTGGCTCTGTGTCCCCACCCAAATCTCATTTTGAATTGTATTCCCATTAATTCCCATGTGTTGTTGAAGGGACCTGCTGGAAGATAATTTGAATCATGAGGGTGGTTTCCCCCATACTGTTCTCATGGTAGTGAATTAGTCTCACAAGATCTGATGGTTTTATCAGGGGTTTCCGCTTTTGCATCTTCTTCATTTTCTCTTGCCAGTGCCGTGTAAAAATTGACTTTTACCTCCCACCATGATTCTGAGGCCTCCCCAACCATGTGGAACTATAAGTCCAGTTAAACCTCTTTTTCTTCCCAGTCTTGGGTATGTCTTTATCAGCAGCGTGAAAACGGACTAATACAGTAAATTGTTACCAGGAGTGGGACATTGCTGAAAAGATACCCAAAAATGTGGAAGAGACTTTGGAACTGGGTAACAGGCAGAGGCTGGAATAGTTTGGAGGGCTCAGAAGAAGACAGGAAAATGTGGGAATGTTTGAAAGTTCCTGGAGACTTGTTGAATGGCTTTGCCCAAAATGCTAATAGCAATGTGAACAATAAGGTCCAGGCTGAGGTGTTCTCAGATGGAGATGAGGAACTTGTTGGGAACTGGAACAAAGGTGACTCTTGTTATGTTTTAGCCCAGAGAAAGGTGGCATTTTGCCCATGCCCTAGAAATCTGAACTTCAGAGAGATGATTTAGGGTATATGGTGGAAGAAATTTCTCAGCAGCAAAGCATTCAAGAGGCAACTTGGGTGCTGTTAAAGGCATTCAGTTTTATAACGGAAGCAGAGCATAAAAGTTTGGAAATTTTGCATCCCGACTATACAGTAGAAAAGAAAAACCCACTTTCTGGGGAGAAATTCAAGCCAGCTGCAGAAATGTGCATAAGTAGCAAGGATCCTAATGTTAATCCCCAAGTTCATGGGGAAAATGTCTCCAGGCCATGTCAGAGACCTTCACAGCAGCCCCTCTCATCACAGGCCCAGAGGAAAGAGTGGTTTTATGGGCCGGGCCCAGGTCCCCAAGCTGTGTGCAGCCTAGGTACTTGGTGCCCTGTGTCCCAGTCCCAAGCCTTGGCAGCTTCCACATGGCGTTGAGCCTATGGGTGCACAGAAGTCAAGAAATGAGGTTTGGGAACCTCCACCTAGATTTCAGAAGTTGTATGGAAATGCCTAGATGCCCAGGCAAAGGTTTGCTGCAGCGCTGACGGCCTCATGGAGAACCTCTGCTAGGGCAGTGCAGAAGGGAATTGTGGGGTTGGAACCCTCACACACAGTCCCTACTGGGGTACTGCCTAGTAGAGCTGTGAGAAAAGGGCCATTGTCCTCCAGACCCCGGAGTGGTAGATCCACTGATAGCTTGTACCGTGTACCTGGAAAAGCTGCAAAGACTAAATAACAGCCTGTGAAAGCAGCAGGGAGGGAGGCTGTACCCTGCAAAGCCACAAGGGCGGAGCTGCCCCCCCAAGACCATGGGAACCCACCTCTTGCATCAGCGTGACCTGGATGTGTAACCTGAGTCAAAGGACATCATTTTGTAGCTGTAAAGTTTGACTGCACTGCTGGATTTCGGACTTGCATGGGCCCTGTAACCCCTTTGTTTTGGGCAATTTCTCCTATTTGGAACAGCTATATTTACCTAATACCTGTGCCCCCATTGAATCTAGGAAGTAACTAGCTTGCTTTTGATTTTACAGGCTCATAGGTGGAAGGGACTTGCATTGTCTCAGATAAGACTTTGGACTGTGGACTTTTGGGTTAATGTTTTGGGGACTGTTGGGAAGGCGTGATTGGTTTTGAAATTTAAGGACATGAGATTTGGAGAGTCCAGGGGCAGAATGATATGGTTTGGCTCTGTGTCCCTACCCAAATCTCATTTCGAATTGTATTCCCATAATTCCCATGTGTTGTGAGACTGGACCCATTGGGAGGTAATTTGAATCATGGGGGGCAGTTTCCCGCATACTGTTCTCATGATGGTGAATAAGTCTCATGAGATCCAATGGTTTTATCAGGGGTTTCTGCTTTTGCATCTTCCTCATTTTCTCTTGCTGCTGCCATGTAACAAGTGAGTTTTCCCTCCCACCATGATTCTGAGGCCTCCCCAGTCATGTGGAACTGTAAGTCCAATTAAACCTCTTTTTCTTTCCAGTCTTGAGTATGTCTTTATCAGCAGCATGAAAATGGACTAATACGAAACTCTTCTCCTCTTCAAATGTGATGGTTTTCTAAATGAATGTTCACATGGGTAGAATTTCTAAAAATCATAAATTGAACATGTGAATGTCTTTATCTGTGATTAAGCCCTTTTGTTTTGATTTGTAAAGCACATATGGATAATGTGCGTGTTTTACAGGTCTGAACATTAGAGACAGAATGAAACATTTTTATGGATTTTTCTTTTGATAATACATTTTAGAAGCAGTCTCAGTATATGGTGAATTACAACTCATGTTGTAAAATCACCTTCATAATTCCTTATTACTATATTGTTCTTTTTCACATGGTACTATTGCAAACTTAATTTTCTACCTGTTTTGTAGAAAACAGCAATATATGAATTGTCTATATTTTCATTAAAAACTAATTTCAGAATAGTACATTTTTCAAAGGTGTTTTATAAATGTTTGTGCATTGATTACCTATAAAAATGGAGAACTATTGTTTTTAAATTTCTGCCTACATTCGACTTAGCCCTGAATTACCAAATGCAATTATCTATCCATAATTATATGCCCAACAACCTTAACTGTTATGTGTAACATAAGACCTTGACTCAAAGATAAAATTTTCATAGTTCCAGAAATAAAATATTACTTTTTTCTTTTATGACTAAAAACAAGAAAATGCCTTCTTAACTTTAGTCAACTTACTTAAATGTTCTTTAAAAACAAAAATGGTAAAATTTTGGTCAAGTAATATTAAGAATGTTGAGATCACTAATTGAACAGAATCTTAATAGCAACTATGTGATTCAGGTTAATCAGTAACATTTTTGAAAATCAATATGCTTGAAACCACACAGTTTTAAGAAGTGTGAGCTACTAAGTACATAGATTTTACAATATAATCAATAGCAGACAATGGAAAAAGGTGAACACCTCTTCTAGACAATCATAAAGGACATATACGAGGTGCCGTAATCCAGTTTTAAGTGTATAATCAAGGATTGACAAAATCTCAACATTTGCTTTAGGATTTCAGGTGTAGAAAAATGTGTTCATATTATTTTTACTCCCTCAAAACTTTTAATGTGGAATATGGTGGAAAGATAACTAAAATAGAAATCAGGAGAAATAGATTATTGTCTTGGCTTTGTACTTATTAATCTGGGACCTTACGGCTAGTCTTTTACTTCACATTTCTATAAAATAATGAGGCTCTCTTAGAACAGCTATAATTACTTTATATCATGCTTTTTAAAAGATACTGAGTTAAGTAAAATAACACATGTAAAGTGCATTACCACAAAGCCTAATATGCTATAGATAATCAATAGATGTTAGTATATTTCCCTTTAAAGACCCTTCTCATTCTAAAAATCTAAGATAAACTCTCATTTCTTCACAGGTTTTCACTAAATAAAAATATACCAACAATTAAGAGTTGCTATCTTTACGATAGGATTATTGTTAATTTTTGTTTTCCAAATTTTCTACAATCTGCATATGTTAAGAAGTGGATTAAGTAATATTGATTGAACACAGATACCATAAAGAACACATACTTCAAACTGGGGGGAGACATTTGCAAGATATATAGCTGACAAAGAATTAGTAACTGTGAGTGTGGGTGGGGAGTTGGGGGAGAGAGAGGTCACAAATAATCTAACCAAAAAAATGAGTAAAAGACTTGGACAAGTATATCATGGAAAAAGTTAACCAAAGAGTCAATAAGCATATGTCCATTCTCATTATTTACTCAGGAAAATTCAAATTAAATCTATGATCGATATTTTATACCACTATATTGGCAAAAATGTTTAAATCTGACAATGGAAAGTGTTGGGGAGAATATGAAGCCACTCGAATACTTTCATAGTGTACTCATGCGACTATACATTGATTCAACAATAATGGTAAAGTTTCATTTTCTAGTACATTTGGACATACACATAGCCTGTGATCCAGCAAGTGTACTCATAAGTCAACATAAGTAATACTAGTTATAGCAAACAACACTCAAACCTCAGTGTCTTACTGCAACAAAGTTTCATTTCGTACTCATATCACATACTGATGTGGCAAGAGTTCTACCCCCACAGTTACTCAATCTAGTGGTTCTTCTGAGTCTTGAGTCTTCTCCTGGATTACCTTCACCCAGTCAGGAGACAAGGGTAGAGAATAAATGAGGAGTAGGGGATTTTATACAATAGACCTGGAAGTGGTTATACGTCACCTCCTTAAAGATTCTATCAGCCTAAACTCAGTCAAATGGCTTGACCTAACTGTAGGGGATGCTGGATAAGGTAGTGGAGTTTTGTAGAGAGAAGGGAAAGGAGAATATGGATACTGATGAGCTTTAGCAATCTCTGTCACAGTTGTTCCTTTTGGTCACCAAATATCTCCTTGCTTCCTTATTAACCACAAATAGAAGGCAGCACTCTCTTCCCAAGGGAGACCAACTCATCTAAACACTTTATCCAGCTCAGTGTCTAGGATCTCTGGCTTACCTGCGATCTTCTCCAGATATGGTCCTCAGAGTCCAGCCGCCTAGAAATTAAAAAGACAATCAACTTTCTCCAAAACTCCCACATATAAATGTGCAACAATGACAAGATAGCAGTAAGAAATCATGCCTGTTAAGAAAGATGAAGAACTGGAGACACCCCATATTCATTGACCTAGAGCAATTAGGAAGAACCCTTAAGAGATACTGCACAGATCCCTTTCCCGAGAGTAGAGTGTTCCTCGATTTGACCCTGATGTTACGAGGAAGAATGCTGTTTTACCATCCAATGTTGTTTTACCTCCATGCTCTAGAACATTATTTCGTGTTAACCATCCTCCTTGGCCACATCTGAAATGAGTGTTGGAGAGTAGGCTTTGCTCAGAGTCTGGAAAACTTTTGCAAGCCATTCCCTGCTGAAGTTAGCTTGCAAGTATGTTAGTTCACTAGGGCTGCCATAAAAAGACACCACAGACCGTGTGGCTTAAACAACAGAAATTGATGTTCTCACAGTTCTGGAGCTAGAAATCCAGGATCAAGGTGCTGGCAGGTTTGGTTTCTTACTGGACCTGCAGGTGGCTGCCTTCTCACTGTGTCACTGACCTTTCCTCTATGTGTGCACCTCCCTGATATCTCTTTGCATGTCCAGATTTCCTCTTCTTACAAGCACTCTAGTCGGATTGAATTGGCCCTGAATGAAAGGCCTCATTTTGACCTAACTGCATCTTCTAAGTCCCTATCTCCATATACAGTCTCATTATGCATTACTGGGGTTCGATTTCAACATGTGAATTTGGGGAATGGGGGGTACAATACTGCCCACATCAGGAGTCCAGAGGTTGTTTAGCAGTTGGAATATCCAATATTAAAGTTAGTTTCTTTGGCAGTGAAATTCCCTCAAGATAGGAGGAGGCATGTGATCTACTTGTTTTTGTTTAATTTCATGTGTCAGCGACCACACCCAAATTTCTTTCCTAGAATTCTTAGACATGCTTTATTTCTTTGCTTACTATTCGATGCCTCCTTTGCTAAAGTAATGGGTGACTATGTGATGACACGGGACAGGAGGCTTGGGAGGCAGACATTCATCTCCATTTTTCCCCAAGTCTAACTGACTTCTATTAAACAGATTTTTTACTGTCCCTTTGCCTTGCACAGCTTCTTAGACATTTTCTCTCTTACCTATGGGTTCTAGAAGAATTGACAACTCCACCTTTGTGGTGTCGTAAGTTTCTAGACTGGCTCTATTGCCATTGTTCTCCCTTTTAAATATTGTTCTTATAATAACTTTTATTTTATACTTTTAAATTTTACTATAATACCTACAATAAAAGGCAGCTAATTGTAGCAAACCCACTGTAAACATTATCTTTTCTAATCTTTATCCTCTTCAGCTGAAAGTTCAGCAGGTGACTGATCTGCCTTCCAAGTTATCACTAGCAACCGTCTTACCAGATTCTTGCCATGCTGTTACAAGTATCTCCAACCTTTTTTTTTTTTTTTTTTCCCTGAGATGGAGTCTGACCCTGTCGTTCAGGCTGGAGTGCAATGGCACAATATCGGCTCACTGCAACCTCCGCCTCCCGGGTTCAAACGATTCTCCTGCCTCAGCCTCCTGAGTAGCTGGGATTACAGGCACCCGCCACCAAGCCTAGCTAACTTTTGTATTTTTAGTAGAGATGGGGTTTCACCATGTTGGCCAGGCTGATCTCAAACTCCTGACCTCGTGATCCACCTGCCTCAGACTCCCAAAGTGCTGGGATTACAGGCATGAGCCACCGCACCCAGCCAGATCTCCAATCTTTAAAGTTTTGATATATGATCCCTTGCTAGGGTGACTGCTGAGCCAATACCACATGTGAGGTCTTTCTGCTTAGGAGATAAGGAAAGAGAATGAGTATGGGATTTCTGGAAATAAGCCTGGAAGTGGCATACATCACTTCTCTTCACATTGCCTTGACCAAAAGGCAATCACGCAGCCCCATCTAGTTGCAAAGGAGGCTTAGAAATGCAGTATTGGTGTGTGGCTGGAAAGGAGAGGAGAACCTGGACTTGGGTGAGCACAGGCATTCTCTAAGACAAGACCTTAGAGAAGCTTTTGCTTATTTGTTGGTTGTAGTCAAGACAAAACAAAACAAAAAGCCAAAAAAAAACTCAAGAATACATTAACACAAGAATGGATACATACATATATACACACATACATAGAGTCATATTATATATACTTAAGCACAAAATCATGCAAAACTAAATAAAATATTAATATGGTTAATATTTATGTAAGCATATGTTGTAAAATTATCAAAAAATTCAGAGGGTTAGAAGATTTATGTGGTGGGCACATTTCTTCATACCATCTCATGGAATCAGTTATTTAAAACTGGGAAGAGACCATTAAGATAGGGTAGGTTAATCCTCCTTTTACAAGAAAAAAAAAGATGTGTACATAAATAGAACTGTCTAAAGAAGATTGTGCCAGATGCAAAATTAGAACCTCTCCAAGGATAGGATAAGAAGTATTACAATGGGACATTGTCTCAAAAGATACCAATATACTTATGTGATGGCAACAAAAATAAGAGAAATTGTGGAATTAATGAGCTTACTATTATTATAAAATGATTATTTTTCACATGTAAGAAATGTGCCTATATTCTCTACAAATAAAATAAGTCTTTCTCTTTTTTGCCATTCCATGTTGCACCTATAGCTTATTTAGAAGACTCCTTATTTATTTTCAGTTTTCATCACTTTCTTGCTCCAACTACAAAGTGAATATTATTAAATTTTAGTACTATTAATAGCTCATCATTGGCAGATTTTTCTAGTCAATTTTTAAGGAAGTAACAGCAATTTTTTTTCTGTTACGGAACAAATACTGTTACAAAATATGGCATAAGCACAACCTTTTTATCCATACTGGAATTTCCTCTTCTAAGCTCTGATAGTAGCATTTTATGTGTCCTCATCTCTCTGCCAGGGTTTTATACTGGTGCCCCCTTGTCTAGTGCAACACCTCACACAGAGTAAAAGTTACATAATTATTTTTGGAATAAGGGAATTTTTACAGATGTACAATCTCTCCCTCTCTCCCCCATCCCTTCACACACACACACACACACACACACACACACACACACGGAGTTACAATGGCCGATAGTCAACTTAAAGTCCTTATGGTTTACTTTTCTGTGTTTGACTTCGGGTATATAGATGTAAGTCAGACATCTTTTGATGACAAATATGAGAAAACCTAGATATTTATTATATTATTCAGTTTTTTGTATTATTACTATGACAATGTGATATTAGTCGGGGTTGGGGGGCTTCATTTCACAAATTATGCTTAAAAACTTAAAAACACACCTTGTCACAGCTTGGTCAAATCACACAGCGCCTAATGGGATTGGCATGGAAAGGGCAGAGCAATTGCAAAAGTTTCTAGTTTCAAATACTCTTCTCTAAGACAGGAAGGGGGAATGAGGGAAGTTGTTCCATGAATGTCGGACTACCAACAGCATCAGTAAAAGCTTATCATGAGAACAGCTGACCAGAAAGGACCCTGAGGCTAAGCCAGTGAAGGCAAGGCAAAAATTCTGAGTGGAAGTATGGTGCACGGAACAGAGACATGGCCTCTAGATTCCAGATCCCCCATTATGAACTCTGGACTTGAGGGGAGTTACTTCACTTTCTGTGGCACAATTTTCTAATCTGTAAATTGAGGCTTTTGTGAAAATTAATAAATTCCAAGTACTTAGAACAATCATGGGCACCTGGTAAGCAATGGAAAACGTAAGCCTTTATCAACCTGATAATAAAGTATTTTGTCATCAACCTGATAATAAAATAAAGGTTTTTACTATCATCATTATTATTGCTTACCCAGGCACCACAGGCCCAGGAGTCAGCGGTAAATCCAGAGACTGGGAGTCAATGCGGTCAGTTGATTATCTGACTCCTAATGGAACTGAGATGAATGGTCAGCAGAGGATAAGATACACATGTGGAGAAGGGATGGTCATTGGACAGGAGATTTAAGTGAATAAGGAAGGTTTTAATTGTTGCTGTGACCTTTTGTCTTTCTGATTTGACGCCTTCTCATTGGGGTGGGAAAGGTGCCTTAAGGGTTTATCGCTTAGAGGGATATTATTCAAATGGACTTGCATTTTCTTGCTGTCACTGTCATTGGGCTTTCTAATATGCAAACATATATTTTTTGTTGATGCATCTCTCTGTTGGCCGAACCAATATCCCCTTCCAATATCTGGATAATTTTATGGAGTTACTGAGAAAAATTCTATTTTGTTTACTTTGCTTTTCAGAGATTAAACGCTTTTAAGGTGAAATTATATTTCCTTTTTTAAGTTTTAATAACAGTGAGAAAACTTGGATTTTCTCTAGTGGAACAATTGAAAAAGACACTGTTTATGGTATACTCGCAATTCATTAAATGGGAACCCAGAGGATCATATGTACCATGATGTAGTCATAATTTTAGGTAATTCCTATTCATTAAATGTATCAATAGTAATATTTTAAAAGGATAATTTTAAAAGTAAAGTAAAATCCAGATTTATTTCATTTCCTTGGTTAGCTACATGACTACCACTTATTCTCGCATGAGTAACCAGTGTTGTTTCTTCGTGCTAATAGTAAATAACTTATACCAGAATGAGAACTTTCATTTTTTAGAGCAAAGTTTGAAAAGTTGTTCAAAATGAAAATTTTATCATGTTAGTTTTAAAAATAAGAATAAGAAGCATATTTAGGAAGGAGTAAATATTATTAAATTTATTTAATACACACGTAATATTATAATCATATTATGAAAAGGCAAAACTGTGAATATAAAGGATTTGGTATTACTGTTTTATTCACAGAGGGATAGCTTAAGTGTAGTGATATATTCCAGTGAAAATAACCAAACTCCTAATATTCTATAGCAATATAACTTTAACAACTGCTATTATTGGTTTAATTTGCATAACTTTGTATCCGATTTCAGCTTTTCATGTAATGTGTTCTTATTTAGACAGGCTAATCAGACTTTCTTACTTAAAGACAAACATAAAGGCCTAGTGCAGTGACTCATGCCCATAATCCCAGTGCTTTGGGAGGCCAGGGCAGGAGGATCACTTGAGCCTAGGAGTTTGAGAAAAGCCTGGACAACACAGCAAGACCCCATCTCTACAAAAAAATTTTAATAATTAGCCAGGCATGGTGGCACGCGCCGGTAGTCCGAGCTATGCAGGAGGCTGAAGCAAGAGGATCACTTGCAGCTACTCAGGAGGCTGAAGCAAGAGGATCACTTGAGCCCAGGAGGTTGAGGATACAGGGAGCTATGATCATGCCACAGCACTCCAGCCTGGGTGACAGAGTAAGACCCTGTCTCTAAAAACAACAACACAAAGACAAACATAGAAAGAGGAAAGCACCTCTCACAGAGTATCAGCCCACATAGGACTTTCCTTGTTACTGTACCGTGTAAGTTTGCAGTACACGAAGGAGCATCATCAGATGTAAGGTCACATCTGCAGTAAGGGGTGAAAGTCATTTTAGCATCAAGAAGACAGTTAACAGTTTTAAGCCCTAGCTCCACATTACTAGGTATGCAAATGTGGCTATTGATGTTCATCTCTTCGAGTTTCACTTTTACAATATAATCAAGCTGCAAAATAAGGATATTACCTCTCTTCTGGGGTTACATTTTTGAGGCTGAAATGAGATGATTCAGATACAGTTATTAACGAAGTATACACTGGCACATAGTAGTAGGTAAACATGCTATAAAACGCATGAGTCCTATCATTTTTGTTATCATTTTAGCAGTGGTAGTAGTCATATTAAAAGATGGATAAGAACTTAAGAGTAGTAGAGAAAAAAAAAAGGAGGATTTAAGGTCTGTGAATATGAAGCCCTTGTTTTCCTGGTTATCCCACTGGGGGCTAAAATGAGGATCTAAAGATCAGCTATCACACAGTAATTCTCTGCATCTGCTTTTTGAATACCTTCAATCCTTCACCTCATTTCCTCCTGTAATGTTTTTGGGAATGCCACAGAGATGTCTGTGGTCTCCACAGATGAGTTTGCAGATAATTACGTGGGATTGGTCTTGTCTCCCTCTGCAGCACCCCTGGGGTGTCTGTTGTGTGTGTCGAGAGCTATGCTTCCAGAGCCCTCTGACCAGATCACCACTGAGCATCCCCCAAGGTGCCTCCACGGTTCACAAGCCCTGCCAATGTCAAGGCCACTCCTGCCAAGCCTACTGATGTCTGCACTGAGGCTGCAGAGCCCACAGTCAAGAGTGCTGATGCATCCAGGACACAGCCCAAAGTCACAGAGGGATAGAACTGTGCCAGAGACTGGCTCTGAATTTGGCCCGACTTCCAACAGATATCTGGATTCCCCAAACATTGACTGAGTGACTCCTACGTGTGAGGCATTTTCCTCGACTTTTTTCCTTCTTCACTATAGCATGCTAGAGTGGTGATTTTTGTTGTACTTCATAATTACCAATAGACTGGTGAGTAGAAGGTGATCTATTAGATGGTTTTTAACGCATAAAATGTGATAATCTTTTCTTTACTTAAAGGCAATAAAAATATAATTGTGTTTCTGTAAGGTAATTGCAAAAGAAAACAATTTTAGGAATGATCATATTAAAAACAAATAAAAAGAATTCTCAAGGAGGGAAAAATTAGAAAAAAGCTATAGATATGTATTTTTAATTTTTTATTTATTGATTCAACTTCAGGGAAATAAATACAACCCTCTGTAAATAATCCTCTTGCCCAGCAGATATTGTCTTAATAAGTAAAATGCAAGAGTCAGTAGTCAAGAAGAGATTTGCATCATTGGTTTATAAATCTGCTTTTAGTCCAACTCTTCTTTTATGGGCCTCAGTGGCACTTCTTAGTTCAATTTAAACAGTAAACCCTTTACCATTGCTACAGTAATTGAAAATCGCATAATGAGTTTTACTAATGCATTTCTGCATTTTTGGCCAACAACAACCCTTCTATTTCAGTACTCTGCTTCTTAACCCCATCTACGAATTCATTTACCTCCACAACCATTATTACTTTCTTTCCTCCTATGGCAGAGAATCAGTTATTTCTTTTGCTGTCTGGGGTTAATTAATCTCTATACCTGTGTTCTGGTTTATTTTCCTTTTTCAAGCAGAATTTTCTGACTCTTTTATATTTTCAAGATCTTTCTGTTATAGGTTATACAAAGATATCGAGTCTTTGTACCTTTGAACATATAAAAATTTTTAAATCCTGTGATTCCTCTGTGTCCTACTTCCCTTCCCAGTCAAGCAGTTAGAAATAATTTTGTAAATTCCCTTCGTCCAATTGCTCATTTTCCTTTCTCTCTGCAATCCCTTATAATGTATGCTCCAGAAGGAGAGCAGACAACAATAATGAAATGAGTCTCAAATCCACTGGCTACTTTTTGGCTTTTACTTAATATTTCTGCACCTTTTAATTGAATCAATCTCTCTCCCTCATCTCTTCTCTCCTCTCCCCTCCCCTCCCCTCCCTTCCCCTCCCCTCGCCTCTCTCCCCCTCTCTCCCTCTCTCCTCTCTCTCTCTCTCCCTCTCTCTGTCTCTCCCTGCACTGGCTCTCCTATTTCATCTGCCTTCTCAGTCTAGACAATCCTTCTCATTACCTTTGTAGATTCATCTACTTCTGTCCTTCCCTTAAAAGTTGATCCATCCAAGTCAACACCACAACCTTCTTCTAAAATGCAAATCAAATGCAACTCTTTCTTTTAAAGTTGTTTCCCATTGCCTACAAAGCTTACTTTTTTAGCTTTACATTGTACTCTATAAATCCAACTCTCCACTCTCTATCAGACCTATAATCATTTTTCCAATATGCCAGAACTTTTCATGCCTCAGAGCTTGTGCATATGTTATTTCCACTGCCTGAGATATTTCTGCGATAGGCCTAGCATATTTGCTTTTGGTCAGCAACTAGTCATTAAGCATCTATAATACGCATGAAAATATGCTGGGTACCAAAAACGCAAGGAGGATGACCATGTGTCCTACTTTTAGTACAAGCCATCTCACAGCCTTAGCAAGGCACATGTTTTATGTGCTATCATACCTGACTTTATTAGCCATTCTTTTAAAACTTTTTGATGGTTTCCCATTATGTTCCACTTCTAATAGCTTTCACAAGACTGTCATAAACCACATAACTTCCTCTGCCCTTTCTGCTTTTGCAGGTTTTCATTCCACACCTGTCTCTAATACATGTTCAAAAAAGTCAAGAAATATGCTTTCTTCACCCTATAAGTCCATACATTGACAGCTCATGAAAGCGTATCCTTTCTATAGTCTTCTAAAGTTAAAGAAGAACTATATGATCCTGCAATATAGCAAAAAGTACATGAAATTTTCAGGACTGAACTTTCTGAACTGCAACCAATTATATATTTATTACTCACAACTTTTGTTCCCCAAACCATAGGCACACATACATTCCAAATACACCTATTTCTAAAGAGGGATATATACACTAAAAATGGTTATTTTTACATAATTTCTGGTCTTATGTCTTTGTTGTGTGTAACACAATGTGACAAAGATTGATAGTGCAATCTTTGTCACTATCACCTGCTCCTTTCTTTAACTTTTCTTCTTCTTTGACATTTGATTTTCCTCTTACCTTTCCAAACTCACCTTCTCACTCTCCTTTGTAGGTCTTACTTCACCAGCCTTTGAAATTGCTGTTACTGGTGTTCTTTCTCTGCATATCTAGGTCCCCTTTGCATTACCCCTCTCTGAAAATGTCATCGAAAGCATAACTTCAATTATTACCCAAATAGTAATGAAACCTATATTTTTATTTGCACATCAGATCTTTCTCTCATGCTCCGAATTTATATAATCTTATTTAGCATCCACCCTTGAACACACCACGAGTACCTTATATACAACATAGACAGAAATATATCTACATATTCATCTTCGAAATTTGTATATTTCCCTGCATTCCTAATCTCATTTTAGAAGTAATCATTGTTATATGTTTCTCCTTCATGTTCCACCATCCAATTAATTTGCCAATACTTTTTAATTTTTTTTTCTAGGCACATTTCTCCACGTTTTATCCTTGAACCATTTTCTTGCTCAGAACCCTCCAATCTGATTTCTTTTCTACTACCAGAATTATGTATTCACAGCTCTGCTTATTAAGTCCAAAATCTATAACTTATTGAGAATTGCTTTCCCTAGCAGAGGGCCTGGGACATAGAATTAGTACAGTATAAAGGCTTGGTCGTTCATTCATTCAGCAACAATGCAATGAGCAGCTACTATTTTCTAGGCACTAGCTGCTCTGGATATATCGGTATCAGGGAGCTGAAGTTTACATTCTAGCAGGGGTCAACAAAGAATAAATAATAAGGAAAATAAGTTAGTAAATTACTAGCATGTTAGAAAATGATACATGACACAGAAATAAGAAAAGGAAGCTCAGATGAATGGGGATGAGGAAAACCAGGGGTGGGCAAGTTGGAAATTAAATAAGGTTGTCAAGGTAGCCCTATGCAGATAGAATTTAGTAAAAACTTTAAGGCGATGAGGGAGTTACACATGCATTTAATAAGAGTAAAAAAGATTGAGGCAGGAGAAACAACTGACATAAATGTCCTAAAATAAAAGCATACATAGTGTGTTCAAGAAACAGTAAGAAAGCCATGGCTGGAAGGGAGTTAAAAGAGATTGAGATGTAGGAGGTGAGATCAGAGCTTATAAGCATTTCATATCATTGTGAGGCTCTTACTCTAGGCAAAATTGTTGAATAAAAGCAGAAAAAGCTAATTGAAAATGAAGTACACTGGAAATACTAAAATCAACTGAGGTGAGAGAGAAGGGACATGATGGCTTCATGAACTGTCAGTTAACTCAGTGTGTCTAGTAAAATATCCTCATTTTAAAGTATGATTAGATATTTAATGTTGGATTCCTTTAATATGTCTTCTGAATTTGGATGAGTCAAATAAGTCAACAGTCTTTGACTGCACCATTTTGGAAGCTGATCTTGGATGTGTTTCTGACACTGCAGCATTCTGACCACTGTTGTTCTAGCTTCCTTGAGCAACGGGCTATGAAAATGTTCCTACTGGTCTAGAAAGGAAAAGCAACACCAAACACTGATTAAGCTCTATGAAGTCCTGCAAAGAAACCACAATTTTAAAATTGCTGTTATAAATGAGTGTGAATGAAAAAGGTAGACTCTTAAAATGGTGAAGCAAACATTCACGATTCATGATTAATTAGTAAGAAATGGCACTTTATTTTGAAAACTACCTTTGAAGCCTAATTTTCCTGCATCTCTGGTTTAGAGAACTTTGATATTGATGGAAAGCTTCAAGTTTGAGGGTGGAGGGAGTTGTAAGCCCTTTACAATCCCATTAGTGACCTGGTGCACAGGCAAAACATCTTGTTTGGAGAAAATGGCTTCATCTTGATGCCTTGCAAAGCTTTAGGTTACCTCCTCTGCCATAGGCAGGCGTCCAACAAGGTAGTTACATAAGAAGAAGATATATCAACTGATTAAGAGAGCCTACTGTCTGTGTTCCACTTTCTAATACGTATGCAACCTAAAATTTAATCTGATCTCTCTCCCAGTATAACTGTAGGTATTATTTTGCCAAAGCTAAAATCACATTAGATAAATGAATTTTCTTTCATATATCATTTTCAATCATTGTTATCTACATGTATAAAAAGTAAATCCAGGGATGTATAGTTTTGGCAACATGTCAAGAGTATGGAAGACAGCCAGGTGCAGTGGCTCATGCCTGTAATCCTAGCACTTCGGGAGGCCTAGGTGGGAGGATCACTTGAGGCCAGGAGTTCGAAACCAGCATGGCCAACATGGTGAAACACTGTCTCTACTAAAAATACAAAAAAATTAGCCAGGCATGGTGGTGGGCGCCTGTTATCCCAGCTACTCGGGAGGCTGAGGCAGGAAAATTGCTTGAACCCCGGAGGCAGAGGTAGAGGTTGCAGTGAGCCGAAATCGCGCTACTGCACTCCAGCCTGGGTGACACAGTGAGACTCTGTCTCAAAAAAAAAAAACAAAAAAAAAAAACAAAGAGTATGGAAGTCATCATTCCCACTCTTACAGAAAGAGAGAAAATATAACAAAATAAAAATCAGTGACCTTTCTTTGACCCATCAAGGAACCATGGTTGTAAGCCATCCCCAAATCTGGGGAGATAGATCAGAGAGTTACCTCCAATATCTGTTTTCCCAGAGCAGAAGCCATGAAACGAGAGCAAAAGCAAAATAGTAATTGCAAGAAATTGCTGGAGGCTGAGTGTAAACTAGCATGAGAATGAGAAATTCTAGGGGCTGCAGTCTTAGGGGGTTCCCATATTTCTGTGAGTTTTACCTCTATGATCCCTACCAGGATCTTATGTTAAAAAGTTAAAAGACCCTGGCTTCAGCAGGGACGGGAAAATAAAAATCATTATGAAATCTTCCCAGGATGTTCTTCATAACAAAAGCTTACTCTCCAAAGGAATAGACTTTGCCAGAATCTTATTTCACCTAGAGAAATAGTATTTCTTCCAGTCTATCCCCCTTTATCTTTCCTGTCTCACCTGAGCAGGGAGGAAACTATGCTATTGGAGCTACAATTGTGAAGGTCACAGTCCAGGGAAACAGGCCTACTAAGGGACTAATATTTAATCAAAAGGCACAGCATGCTTCCCCTATACCACCCCTGACCACCACAGGTTGTACAGGGCTCCAATATGATAGCAGTGGATTACAGCAGAAAGAAATACACAATTCAGAGTTTCTCTGAGAAGTAGTACTTAGGCAACCCAATGTTAAGAGGGGAGACAAAAACAAGGATGCTAGAGAAATTTTAAGCCTCTGCCACTTACAGCTACAGCAAACATTAACACAGCCCAACTCCTAGCCAGATTACCATAAATTCTGACAGTAAATACCCATTTGCTTTAGTTCTCCATACTCAGTGGAAAATGTCTAGCCACTAACAAAAATTACAATGCATACCAAAAGGAAAAATAGAATTCTGAAGAGACAAAGCAATTGTCAGACTGAGACATAGCTATGACACAAACATTCAAATATAAGAGAATTTTAAATAACTAAAATGCTAACAACTGTAATAAAAAACTATACAACATGAAAGAACAAATGCATAATGTAAGATGTAAGCATAGAGATAAATATTGTAACAGAGCATCAAAAGGGGATGCTAGAAATTAGAAACACAGTGATAGAAATGAAGAATGCCTTTGACGGACTCATCAGTAGATTGGACAGATCAGAAGAAAAAATCAGCAAGCTTGAAGATAAACCTATGGAAACTTTCCAAATAGAAGTGCCAAAAAGAAGAGAGAATGGGAAAAAAGTGTATCATCCAAAAATTTTTGGACAGTTTTAAAAGGTGTAAAATATAAATTGAAATATCACAAGGTGAAGAATAAACAGAGGGAGGAATGGATGAAGGGACGGAGGGAAGGAAGGAAGGGAGGGAGGGAGAGAGGGAGGGAAAACAGGAACAGAACAAATATCTGAAGTCATCATGACCAAGAACTTTCCAAAATTAGTAACAGAAACCGAAGCATAAATCATGGAGCTCAGGAAGGGCCAACCAGAAATAGTAATTTCAAAACTATACTTATTTATATTGTATTCAAACTGCAGGAAGCCAGAAACATAGAGAAAATCTTGGAAAAAATCGGAGGAAAAAATCACCTTGTCTATAAAGGAACAAAGATAATAATTATATTCTTCTTCATCAGAGACCATGAAAAAGTAAAAGCAAGAAGAAAGTAGAGTGAAATATTAAAAATATTGAAAGGAAAAAAATACTAATCAATAATTTTATTTCCAGCAAAAATTGTCTTCAAAGTCCGGGAGAAGTAAAGATGTTCTCTGGCAAACAAAGACTGAAGGAATTCGTTGCTGCTAGACTTTCCTAGCAAGATATGTTAAAGGAAGTTATTTGGGCAAAAAGAAAACAAAAAATTCCATTCGGAAACTCAGGTCTACACAAAGGAAGAGCTATAAAAAGGAATATTTTTTTTAATTTCTCAGTCTTAATCTAAAAGAGAACTATGTTTAAAGTTGTAACAGCAACAATGTGTGGTGACAGCATATGGATAACTATGTAATTAACAGGAATAGTACAAGGGACTAGAAGCAGGAATTAGGGGAATATTCACTTATAAGGTACCTACCCTACATTTGAAGGAAGATAGTGTTCATTGCAGTTGGACTTAGATTGGTTTAAAAACTAACAGAAACCCTAACACACCAGTAAAAAAAGTTTAAAAAGCAGTATAATTGATCTGCTAAGGGAGGAGATAAAATCAAGTGTCTGTGCAAAAAAATAATAATAGAAAAAAGCAGTAGGAGGTGATTTGTAACAGGACTCTTAGAGGCAAACCACAGAAGCTGACTGTGGCTGACCAAGCAAAAAGGGAGATTATTGGGTGGATATATTAGACAAGTAGCCCGGAGAACCAGATTTAAGACTACACTTTCAAAAATAATGCTCTAAACTACATTACAAAAGGGGCCAATGAGAAAACCACTGCCGTGGACACTGCCATTAACATGCAGCAGTTATTTCAGTTTATAAAATTTGTGGCAAGGAACTCTATTTTACTTCAACAGCTCCTGACACCAGCTGGAATAACAGTCCTATCCCAGAACGCAGCGCAAACATCCACCCTCACCACCTAAGTCGGATGCTTCTGCCATCATCCTCCCCACAAAAATGGGTTCACCACTTTGAGTCTTTCATCAAATTGCCAACTTCCCAATTGGATTATCTGATTAATATGCCCAGTGAGTGGAGATTTGTACACATGTCTGGGCCTCAGCCACAAAGAATGTTGGGAATCGTTTTCTGGTTTCTATCATGGGAAGGTAAGACTCATAGGGAGGAAAATTTCCAAACGGGCAAGATTATATTAAAAAGTTCTAGGCAGCCAGAAAAACTGAAACTAAGAGATATTTACAACTTTTCAAATTTTTATCACTGGCAGAAATTCAAAAATGTAATGATCACATTTCTTAAAGGAAAATAATAATGTTTTTACTCAAGGTTACATGAGGAGTGGAAAAGCATCTGTGTTGACAACACACTCATGGAAACTTCTGTGTAAAAAAAGACCTTTGTAGGCCTTTAACCAGCATAATAACTTAAATAAAGTTATGATAAAGTAGATATATTGAAGCATAGCACCCAACTGCCATAGTGTGAAAAACTATAAATAACTCTTTGTCCAGCTTTCTAGCATCAAACTTTTAATTGTGTATAAGTCTATATTCACTGAACTTGCATTAAATATTTTAAAAATCAATAACCTTAAAAGTTGCTGAATACACAAGATAAATTATATATATAATAGAAATGAGGGCTAGATTTTTAGTCGCACAAACTGCTATTTTTGTTTTTTAAATATAAATATTTTGGTTTCAAAAATTTCATACTGACTTCCATTTTCTGGTTTTGTGTGTAAGTAGCTTCAAAGTGGCCACTCTGCTCAAACAACAAGCAATAAACTGGACAGACTTGAAAAATCAACTCTTCCTGGATCTATAAAAGAGTTGAGGATAGCGGGCAAACCATTGCGCCCAAGGTTAGAAGACAGGCAAATACAGGAAGTCACAGCTTGCCAGAGCAGAAACTGCCTTGGAAACCAGTGCAAGAACAGGAAAACTTGAACCATAATTAACAAATTGCTGCAGACTCAGTGTGAACAAGTATAAGAGTTTAAAACTCCATCATTGACCAACAACTCACAGAAGGTCCCCAACAGTTTCCTAAGTTTTACCTCCAGGAGCTCAACCAGGTTCTCACAGTAAATGCAGGAGGAAAATCCCTTCTTGCTTCTCGGATGAGGAGGGGAAAAGAAATCATTCTGAAATACACCAGAGAACTCTCTTCTTCTTAACAAGGCCTGTCCTCAGGAGAAACTATTTAACCAGAGCTAAACCTTCTGGAATTTTATCCAGACCTAACAGACCTGGGGGAAGGGAAATCCAAACTCCAGCTGGCTCTAGCCCTCCATGCGGTGGAAGGAAAATAACCGACTTCAGCCCACTCTAGCCATGCTGTCTCACATAAGTGAGGGCTGGGGGAGACTGGGAAGCACTTGTGAAACCACAGTCAAAGCTATAGGCTCATTGAAAGACTGAGATCTAATCACAGCAGGATAGAACACATTCCCTCACCTTCCTACCACCCTATTACAGCAGTAACTTTTACTTGCTACACCATGTCCGGCTATCAAGAAAAAACTACAAGACATACTAAAAAGAAAAGGATACAACTTGAAGATACGGAGTGTATTAGTTTGTTTTCACACTGCTATGAAGAAATACCTGAGACTGGGTAATTTAAAAGAAAAGAGGTTTAATGACTCTCAGTTCCACATGGCTGGGGAGGCCTCAGGAAACTTACAATGATGGTGGAAGGCAAAGGGGAAACAAGGCACATCTTACATGGTGGCAGGAGAAAGAGAGAAAGTGAAGGGCAAACTGCCATTTGTAAAACCACAAGATGTCATGAGAACTCATTCACTGTCATGGGAACAGCTTGGGGAAAACCACCCTCATGATCCGATCACTTCCCACCAGATCCCTCCCTTCACATGTGGGGATTAATAATTTGAGATGAGATTTGGGTGGGGATACACAGAGCAAGCATCCAAACAAGACTCAGATATAGCAGGGATAATGGAATTATCACAATAAGAATTTAAAACAGCTGTAATTGGAGTGACATCAGCAAGATGGTAAAATAGGACTTTCTGGGCTTGTCTCCTCGCAGAAACATCAATTTGAACAACTATCCACATTCAAAAATACTTCACAAAAGCTAAGGAATTCAGGTGAGAGACTACAGCACTAGGTGTACTATAAAAATAAGAAAAGACACATTGATGAAGATAGAAAGGACAGTTTCACATTACCTGCATTACTCCTTCCCCAAGTCCAGGCAGCATAGCATGGAGAGAGGTACTCTCTGCATGGGAGAAAGGGAGTGAAATGAGCAGGCATCTTTGTCATGAACCGTAGCAGCAGGCTTGCCCCATGGAAACCTGACCTCAGGTCTGCCCCAGAACCAGGCTATCCCCCATGGCCTTCACAGACATAGGCTCTACTCCCACACCAGGTTTAGTCTATTCCTCACAGACCGAGGCTCCAAAGCAGTCCTTTTGGCCCCAGAATCCAGCCCAGCACCCCCACTGACATAGTATCCAGACCAGGTTCTATGGATCCAGGCTCCAGGTCAACCCCAGTGTCAGGCTTGATCCAGTAGGCCAAGAGTCCAAGCACAACTCTGCAGACCTAGACCCTAGGCTTGTTCAGGTCCATCCCTGCAGACCGAGACTTCAGGCTTGTCCCATGGCACTAAACTGGACTCAAGCTCCAGGTCTAGCCCCACAAACCAAGGCACAAGGCTGGTCCATGTGGACTCAGTCACCAGGCCTGCCTACCTACTGACCCAGATACTAGGCAGGCCCACTCAGGGACCCTAACAGCAAGCTTGCTCATGAATCTCTGGAAGGGCCAACTGGTGAAGCACTTTTCCCACTGAAGTCAGCTCGGAAATATTGAAAGAGGTGCCTCTTTCCTCCAACGCACAGATACTAACACAAGGCCACAAGGATCATGAATAATCAAGGCAACATGACACTACCAGAGGAATGAAATAATCAAGGAAACATGACACCACCAAAGCAATAGTAACTGATATCAGATAAATGGAGATCTATGAACTACCTAATAAAGAATTCAAAATAATCATCTTTTTTTTTTTTTTTTTTTTGAGGCGGAGTCTCGCTCTGTCGCCCAGGCTGGAGTGCAGTGGCGCGATCTCAGCTCACTGCAAGCTCCGCCTTCCGGGTTCATGCCATTTTCCTGACTCAGTCTCCAGAGTAGCTGGGACTACAGGCGCCCACCATCACACCCAGCTAATGTTTTTGTATTTTTGGTAGAGACGGGGTTTCACCTTGTTAGCCAGGAGGGTGTCGATCTCCTGACCTCGTGATCTGCCCGCCTCGGCTTCCCAAAGTGCTGGGATTACAGGCATGAGCCCCCGCGTCCGGCCCAAAATAATCATCTTAAAGAAGTTCAATGAGTTGCAAAAGAACCAAACAGAAAATGAAACAAATTAAGGAAAACGATTCATGAACAAAATAAGGAGTTCAAGAAAGTGATGGAAAACGGTATTCTGAATTTGACTATATTCTTGACTTTATAGTGAGTTTTACCCTTTCATATGTTTTGTATGTTGTTACTTAGCATCCTTTCATCTCCAGTTGAAAAATTCCCTTTAACATTTCTTGTAAGGCAGGTCAAACCTTCCACAGCTTTTGTTTTATTCTGGGAAATTCTTTATCTCTCTTTCATTTCTGAAGGACAGCCTGGCTATGTATAATGTTCTTGAGTGGCTGTTTTCCTCTTTCAGTGCTTTGAATATATCATCCCATTTGCCTCTGGCCTGCACCTAATTATATAGCAATTATTAACTGAAGGGAGAAATAGACAACAATTCCATAATAGTGGGGACTTCAGTACCCTATTTTCAACAACAGATAGATCATTCAAACAAAATCAACAAGGAAAGATCAAACTAAATACAATAGAACAGAGTTAACACTTACATAGAACATTGCATAAAAGCAGCAGCAGAATACATACGTTTTCCAAGTGAAAATGAAACATTTTCCAGCATAGTTCATATGTTAGGCAACAAAACACATCTTAATAAATTTGAGAATATTGAAATTATATCAAGTGTCTTTTGTGACCACATGATATAAAGCTAGTACTCAATAATTGGAAGAAATTTAAAAATTTACAAATGTGTGAAAATAAAACAACATATTTATTAAAAAATCAATGGGTCAAAGATGAAATCAAGAGAGAAAAAAAATCTTTACGCAAATGAAAAGGGAAACACCACATCCCATACTTATGGGATGAAGTGAAAGTTCTAAGAGGAATTGTAGCAATAAATGCCTGCATTAAAAAAAGAAATATCTCCAATAAATAATGTAGTTTACATCTCAACTAGAAAAAGAAGAAACCTAGCCCTGAGTCATCAGAAGACAGAAATTACTAAATTCAGGGGCAGAAATAAATGAAAAAAGACTAGAAAAACAACAGGAGAGGTCAAAGAACCTAAGAATTGTTTTTATACACCAATAAACAAAATTAACAAATCTATCATTAGCCTTAAAAATACAGAAGATTCAAATAAATTATAAATGAATGAGAAGACCTTAGAACTGATACTACAGAAATATAAAGGACCATAAGAGACAATTGTGAATAATGATGCACCAACAAATTAAATAACCTAGAAGGAATGAATACGTTCCTGGAAACATACACCCTAACAATATTAAATTACAGAGAAATAGAAAAATTGAACAAATCAGTAACAAGCAAGTGGATAGAATCAGTAATCTAAAATCTCCCCTTCCAAAACAAAAAGATAGAATCTGATGTCTTCACTCATTAATTTACCAAACATTTAAAGAGGAATTAATGCCAATCTTCTCAAACTCTTCCAAAAAAATGAAGAGGAAGGCATACTTCCAAACACTTTTTAAAAGGCCAGCATCATTCCGATACCAAAGCAAGGCAAGGAAATGATAAGAAAAAAAAATACAGGACAATATTTCTGATGAACGTAAGCGCAAAAATTTTTAACAAAATACCAACAAACTCAATTAAGCAACACGTTAAAAGTATCATTCACCGTAATCAAGTGGGATGTATTCCCGGGATGCAAGCATGGTTCAGCATACACAAACCTATAAATGTGATATGCCACATTAATAGAATAAAGAATAAAAATATGATGATCATCTGAATAGATTCAGAAAAGGCATTTGACAAGATGCAACCTGCTTTTATGGTTAAAAAGAAAACACTGAATGCTTTATGTATAGAAGGAACTTAATAAAATATAGGCCACATGTAACAAGCCCACAGCTAACATCATACTCGAGAGTGAGAAGTCAAAAGCTTTTCCTCCAAGATTAGGACAAGATAAAGATGCCCACTCTCTTTCCCCTTCTGTAGTATAATACTAGATTTCCTAGCCACAGCAATTAGTCAAGAAAAAAAATAAAAACAAATCAGAAAGGAAAAAGTTAAATTGTCTCTGTTTTCAGATGATAATTTTTTAAAGAGAAAACTCTAAAACCAAGAAACTGTTAGTCCTAATAAGGGTACTCAGTAAAATTGCTGGATACAGAATCAACATAGAGAAATCAGAACTTGTTTCTATACACTAACAATGAACTATCCAAAATAAATTTTTAAAATTTACAGTAGTATCAAAAAGAATGAAACACTTGGTAATATATTTAATGAAGAAAGTTAAATCTCTGTACAATAAAAATAAAACTGATGAAAAATATCAAAAAGACACAAATAAATGGAAAAATATCCTAGGTTCATGAATGTCTACTGATAGAATTAATATTGAATTAATATTGTTAAAATGTCAATACAACCAAAAGTGATCTACAGATTCAACACAATCCCTATCAAAAATTTAATGACATTTTTTACAGAAATATACTTTTTGGAAATCATTAAATATCACATGGAACCCCAAAAGATCCTGAAGAGCAAAAGCAACCTTGAAAAGGAAGAAGAAAGTTTCAGGTATCAGCTGGATACAGTGGCTCATGACTGTAATCACAGCACTTTGGGAGGCTGAGGCAAGTGGATCACTTGAGCTCAGGAGTTCAAGACCAGCCTGGAAAAGATGATGAAATCCTGTCTCTACAAAAAGTACAAAGTTAGCTGGGTGCGGTGGTGTATGCCTGCAGTCCCAGCTACTTGGGGATGCTGAAACAGGAGAATCACTTGAGTCCAGGAGGTTGAGTCTACAGTGAGCAGCGTTTGCACCACTGCACTCCAGCCTGGGTGAAAAGGTAAGAACCTGTCTCAAAAAAAATAAAAACAACAAAAAAGAAGGTTAGAGATATCACACTGTATTATTTCAAATAACTACAAAGCCATAGTAATAAAGCAGTATGGTATTGGCATAAAAATAGAAATATAGACCAATGGAAGAGAATAGAGAGCTCAGAAATAAACCCAAACATGTACAGTCAGTTGCTCTTTGGCAAAAATACCAAGGATATGCAATGGGGAAAGTTCACTCTCTTCAGGAAAAGGTGTTGAGAAAACTGGATATCCACAGAAGAATAAAATTGAGTTCTTACATCACACCATACACAAAAATCAATTCAAAATGAATTAAAGACTTAAATATAACATCTGAAACTATAAACCTATTAGAAGAAAACATAGGAAAAACCTTCTTGTCATTGGCCTTGACGATAATTTCTGGATATGATTACAAAAGTAAAGTCAGCAAAAGCGAAAATAGACAAACAGAATTCCATCAAACTAAAATGCTCTGCACAGAAAGGAAACAGTCAACAGAATGAAGATATAACCAAAAGAATGGGAGAAATATTTGCAAACCATACATATGTTAAAGGGTTATCCAAAATGTATAAAAAATTCAATATCCTATGTGCATGAATGTCTATTGATAGAATTAATAAAAGAATTAATATTGAATTAATATTGTTAAAATGTCTATACAACCAAAAGTGATCTACAGATTCAGGACAATTCCTATCACAAATTTGATGACTTTTTCACAGAAATATACTTTTTGGAAATATTTGCAATATTCAGTATTTCAATAGAAAGAAACAAATAACCCAATTTTTTAAATGGTCAAAGTACCTGAATAGACATATCCCAAAAGAAGACATATGAATGGCCAACAGATATGAGAAGACATGCTCAACATCTCTAATCACCAGGGAAATGCAAACTAAACCACAATGAGATATCACTTCACAGACGTTAGAATGGCTATTGCCCAAAAGAAAAAAGATAACAAATATTGGTGAGACTGTGGAAAAAGGGAACTCTTGTATGCTGTTGGTCAGAATGTAAATTTATATAGCTATTATGAAAAAGAGTATAGAGGTTCCTCAGAAAATTAAAAATAGAGCTAATATATGATCCAATAATTCCACATCTGGATATCTTTCCAAAGATATAAAGTCAGTATGTCAAAGAGATATCTTCTCTTCTGTGTGCATTGAAGCATTATTCACAATAGCCAAATATGGAATTAATCTAAATGTCCATTATTAGATGAAACAATGAAAGAAATGTGTTATATATACAATGGAATATTATTCTGCCTTCAAAAAGAAGAAAATTCTATCATTTTGACACATGGATGAAATAGGAGGATGTTATGCCAAGTAAAATAAGCCTACAAAGACAAATACTCCATGATCTCACTTATACGTAAAATCTAAAAAATATTGGACTCATAAAAGCATCGAATGGTGCTTTCTCAAAGTTGGAGACTTCAGGGAGGGGACAATGAGGAGATTCCAGTCAAAGAATACCAAGTTATAGTGAGAAAGAATAAGTAATTTTTACAGATCGATTGAAAAACATGGTGACTATGTTTAATAATAATGTATTATATTCCTCAAAATTGCTAAGAAAGTAGATCTTAAATGTTCTCACCACAAAAAAAAATGTGATCAAAATGTGAAGTGTTGGATATATTAATTAGATTACTTGTGATAATCATTTCACAATGTATACATATACCAAAAAACAAAAAAGACACCTCATGCAGGGCTGGGTGCCATGGTGGCTCACACCTGTAATCCCAGCACTTTGGGAGGCCGAAGTGGGTGGATCACCTGAGGTCAGGAGTTCGAGACCAGCCTGGCCAACATGGTGAAACCCCGTCTCTACTAAAAATACAAAAAATTAGCCAAGTGTGGTGCCATGCACCTGTAGTCCCAGCTACTCAGGACGCTGAGGCAGGAGAATTGCTTGAACCAGGGAGGCAGAGGTTGCAGTAAGCAGAGATCACACTTTGTACTCCAGCCTGGGCAACAAGAGCAAGACACCATCTTAAAAAAAAAAAATAAAAAAAAAAAAACAAAACTTATACAGCAAAACATGTCCAATTTTTATTTATCAATTACATCTCAATAAAGCTGAAATAAAAGTTTAATTTTTTAAAATGTGAAAAAAGTTCAAAATAAATTAAAACAACATCATTAATATGGTAAGGGCTGTACAGAATAAAGTAGATGAACAGATAGAAAATGTAAGAAAAAAAGATATAAATCCCAGTAAAGAACCAAGAAGAAATGCCAGAGATCAAAAAAACTGTAACAAAAATAATGATTTTGATGGGCTTATTAACAGACTGCTCACAGCTGAGGAAGGAATCTCTGAACTTGAGGATATCTCAATGGAAAACCCCCAAACTGAAAACTGAACAGAAGAAAAGACAAAAAAAAAAAAAAGATTATCAAGCAACTGTGTGAAAACCACAAAAAGTGTAACATACATGTAGTGGGAACATCAGAGAAAGGAGAGAGAAAGGAATATAAAATATTTGAAACAACGACTGATAAAACTTGCACCAAATTAATATCGGATAACAAACCACAGATTCAGGTAGCTCAGAGAATTTCAAGCAGGATAAATGCAAGGGGGAAAAAAGAAACAATACAAAACACACAAGCAAACAAAAACCAAAAACAAATACACACAAACTGTGTATAGATACATCATTTCCAAACTACAGAAAATCAAAGATAAAGAAAAAATTGTGAAAAACAGCAAAAGGAAAAAATCACATTATCTGAGAGGAACAACGATCCAACTTCTCCATAGCACCATGTAATCAAAAGTCAGTGGAGTGAGATATTTAAAGTATCGAGAGAAAAAGAAAATCACCAAGCAAAAATTCTGTACCTTTGTGAAAGTATCTTCCAAAAGTGAGGGAGAAATAAAGACTGTGTCAGATAAACAAAACCAAAAGTTTTTGCCAGTAGACTTGCATTGCAGGAAATGATAAAAGCCATTCTTTGAGAGAAAGAAAATATATATACGTCAGAAACTAGGATCTACCTGAAGTTTTTATTCCGTTTTTACTTGTTTTTTCACACATACTTATTCTTCTCAAGCTCACATGGAACATTCACTGAGATAGACAACTAGCCTATAAAACACACCTTAACAAACCTGAAAGAATAGAAATTATATAATGTGTACTGTCAGATAAAAATGGAATTATTGATTAACAATTGTCCAAAGTAGATATCAATAACAGAAGTATAACTGGAAAATTCCAGAACACATTCTAAATAACACAGTGGTCAAAGATGAAATCTCAAGGGAAATTTTAAAAGATTTCAAACTAAATGAAAATGGAAACACAACTTACCAAACATTGTGATGTGAAGCAAAAGCAATGCTTAGAAAGAAACATAGCACTGGATGCATATATCAGAAAAGAATATCTAAAATCAATAATGTAAGTTATTACCTTAGGAAACTAGAAAAGGAAAAACAAATTAATTCCAAAGTAAGCAGAAGAAAAGAAATAAGATTTAAGTCAGAAATCAATGAAATTGATATACAAAATCAATAGAGAAATTAATACCACACGCGGTTTTTTTTTAAATATCAGTATAATTGATAAGCCTCTAATGGGGCTAACCATGAAAAAAGAGAAGACACAAGTTACACAGTAATTAGACAGGGGACATCTCCACAGATCCCATAGACATAAATAGGATTTAAAAGAAAATTATAAACAAGCCTATGCCCCCAAATTTTATAATCTGGATAAACTAGGCAAATCCTCAAATGACAAAATCTGCCAAAACTCACACAAGAATAGACAATCTGAATAGACCTATATCAATTAAAGAAATAGAATCAATAGTTAGTTACCTTCCAAAACAAAAAGCAGCACCAGGCCCAAAGTGATTCACTTCTAAATGATACCAAACATTTAAGAAATAAATTATGCCAGTTTTCTACAATCTGTTTTGGAAGACAGAAGATTAGGGAATACTGTCTAACTCATTCCATGAGCCCAAAGTTACTCTAATACCAAAAACAGACAAAGAAACTAAAAGAAATCTTTTTGAAAACTTCAGACCAATATTTTTCATGAATGTAAATATAAAAATCCTTAAGAAAATATTAGCAAACTGGATCCAACAAGGTATAAAAAGAACTATACACCATGACAGTAAAAAATCCTGAAACAAAAGTAATTATAGTAAGGTTACAGGATATAAGGTTAGTATGGAAAAGTCAATAATTTTCCTATATACCAGCAATGAGCAAGTGGAATTTTAAATTAAAATGTGTAAGGTATGATAAGATATGTAAGGCTGGCACAACATTCAAAATCAATTAATGTAATTTATCACATCAAAAGGTTCAAAAGAAAAATCACATGATCATATCAATAGACAGTGAAAAAGGATTTGATGAAGTCTAACACATATTCATAGTTTAAAAAAGAGAACTAGAAACAGAGGGTAATGTCCTCAACTTCATGAAGAACGTCTACCAAACAACAACAACAGAAAAAACCCTATGGGTAGCATCATACTTTATAGTGAGAAACTACAAGGCAATAATGTCATCCTCTACCCACTCCTTTCCAGCATTATACTGAAAGCTCTAGATAGCAATAAGACAAGAAAAGGAAATATAAGATATACATATTGGGAAGGAAGAAACAAAATTATATTAGTTCACAGGTGACATGATCTTCTGTGTATAGAATCCAAGTTTAAAAATCTAAAACAAAAGTAATTATAGTAAGGTTACAGGATATAAGGTTAGTATGGAAAAGTCAATAACTTTCCTATTTACCGGCAATGAACAAGTGGAATTTTAAATTAAGAACACAATACCATTTACATTAGCATTTCAAATAATGAAATGCTTAGGCATAAATCTAACAAAATATATATAAACTCTATATGATGAAAACCATGAAACTCTAATGAAATAAAGAACTAAATAAGTGAAGAGATATTACATGCTTATGAATAGGAAGACTCAACATTGTTAAAATTTCATTTCTTCTCAAACTGATCTACATATTTAATGCAATCCCAATGAAAATCCCTGCAAGTTATTTTGTGGATATCAATAAACTGATTCTAAAGTTTATAGAGAGGCAAAAGATTTAGCATAGACAACGTAATACTGAAGAACAAAATTAGAGGACTAACATTACCTGACTTCAAGATTCACTATGAAACTACAGTAATCAAGACAGTGTGGTGTTAGTGGAACATAACAGAGAAACCAGAAATACATCAACATAAATATGGTCAACTGATCTTTGACAAAGTGGCAAAAGCAATACAACAGAGCAAAGATAGTCTTTTCAACAAACGGTGTTGGAAGAACTGTATATCTACAAGCCAAAAAATGAATCTAGATACAGATCTTATACCCTTCAAAAAATGAACTCAATGTGGACCATAGACCTAAATGTAAAATGCAAAACTATAAAACTCCTATAAGAAAACATAGGAAAAAGCCTAGATTACCTTGTATATGAAATGACTATTTAGATACAACACCAAAGCCACAATTTACAAAATAAGTAATTGATAACTTGGACCTAATGAAAATTAAAAACTTCTCTTTGAAAGAGGATGTAAAGACAATAAGAAGACAAACCACAGACTGGGAGAAAATATTTGCAATGACAACATCTAATAAAGGACTGCTTCCAAAATATACAAAGAACTCTTAAAACTCAACAATCAGAAAACAAGCCAATTGAAACTTGGGTCAAGATTCCTAACAGACATCTCACCGAAGAAGGTATACAGATGACAAATAAGTATATAAAAAGATGCTCCACATTATATGTCACCAGGGAAATGCCAATTGAAAGTTAGCTATCATTACACACGTATTAGAATGGGCAAAAGCCAAAACGCTAGATACACCAAGTATTGGTGAGAATGTGAAGCAACAGGAATTCTCATTTGTTTCTGGGGGGAGTGCAAAATAGTACAAATACTTTGGAAAACAGGTTGACAGTTTCTTACAAAAATACACATACTCTTGTCATATAATCAAGAAATTGCACTCTTTGTTATTTGTCCAAATGAGTTGAAAAACTGCAATATTTGGCTGTTTCTAAATTTTGGCAATTGTAAATACAGCTTCTAAAAACAGCTGTATTTACAATTGCCAAAATTTAGAAATAGCCAAAATGTTCCTTCATAGGTGAATGGATAAACAAACTGTGGCACACCTAAACAATAGAATACATATTATTCAGTGCTAAAAATAAATGTACTGCCAACCATGAAAGGGCACATAGGAAAGTTAAATGCATATAACTAGGTGAAAGAAGCCAGTCTGGAAAGGCTACATATGCTATGATTCCAACTGGATGATTCTGGAAAGGGTAAAACTATGGAGACAGTAAAAAGTTCAGTGGTTTCTGAGAGTACTGAGGAAGGAGTGTGGCCAGGGAGTAGATGAATATAGGTGAAGCACCAGATTTTTAGGTCAGTGAAATACTCTGTATGATATTATAATGGTAGACACCTGCCATTATACATTTGTCTAAACCCCTTAGAATATACAACATCAAGAGTGAAACCTAATGTAAACTATGAACCTTGGGTGATCGTGATGTGTCAATATAGGTTTGTGAATTATAACAAATTTTCCACTCTGGTGGAGGATGTTGATAATAGGGAAGGCTATGCATGTGTTGGGGCTGGGTTATGTGGAGAATTTCTCTACTTTTCCCTCAATTTTGCTGTGAACCTAAAACTGCTCCCAAAAATTTATTCAATACTGCATGCAGTTTGAAAGGGGCTTCATTTATAATCAGGGATTATTTTCTAGTTTGAAAGAATCTATTTCAAAAAATAAAGTGTCATAGATTAGCATGAAATATAAGGTTAATTGAGATATTTTTTGCATAAGCTGCTAACTGGGTGTAGAATCTGAAACATGACTAATAATAGATATTTCTCTAAGTAGGTGTTTGATGTCTTCATATAAATGAAATCTCATAATCCTTCAAATCATTGAAATATGAAATACAGCATATATTTTTATATATTCTGATGAAAATACAGTAGGAAACATGGCATAAAATGAAAAGTTAGATGGATTCCAAATGAATTGTGTTTCTTAGAAATACATTAATGTTTAATACAATATATATCTTAATTTTATATTTGCCTATTCCAACTATGGTTCAATAATTCAACAATAGATTTGTCCTAAGTTTATAAACCTAACTGATGTGTATGTCAAAGTCAATAAACATTTTTTGAAACAAATTAGCCCGTTTTGTATGTACCGACAACATCACTTACGTTCCTAGGCTCCCAGAAGTGTTTGTTTACCAAAAGCTGCATTCACATAACAGTCTATAAACATGCCCAAGCTGACAATCCTCAAAACCTCCAAAAATGAGAATTTCTTCACTGAACTCACTTCTTTTGCGAGCTGTTTGTAGAAAAAGAAATAATTACAGAAGTAAACTATAAAAAAAGATAAATTAGGGTTTCTTTTATTCTTGGTACTGTTAGCAAAGGGATTGTATTATGGTGAGCCAAATTCTCTGAGTGCATAAAACAGTCCCTGGAAATAAATTAGGTGCTTTGGGAAGCTACATTAACTCTTTCTACTCACAAGAGTCCTATTTGTTGCCAGGAGACATCAGCACAGGATGGCTTGCCCACACAAGAGTGCTAGAGGACACATTGATTCTTGCCATTAACCAGTGACTCTCCATTATGGCATTTCTTTGGAACAGATTTCCAGCTTTTCATGTTGACAGTTTTTCACGTGTTATATTTTGCCTGCTTCTGTAATAAAGACTTTTGATTGCCTAGGAGGTCAGAAACTTTAGCAAAAAGTCCAGAGTGATCAGAAAGACTTGAAAATAAGACAGAAGGTAAAATGCTGAAAGAACTGGTAAATGTATTCAAAAAATAAGAAAGTTGAAGGAAGTGTGGAAACAAACCTAAAATACCTGAAGGCTGTAATATATACATGATGTTTTGCACAAAAATAGTAATTAGCTGTTCTCTATCTCAACCCAACAATAAAAAAAAAATTTTTCTTCACAATAACACAAGAAAGTGGGTGCAATTTTTTAAATCTGACAGTATTTACTTAAAGTATTGTTTTCTTCTCATTACAAAAAAATATATTTTATATGCAGAAAGTTGCTAAAAGTACAAAAATAAAATAAAAATTAAAAATCACACATATTTCTATTACCCAGGGGTGATCGCTGATAACGTGTTGGTTTCCTACATGATTTTTAATTTAATTGTAATATCTCATGGATGTGTCATAAGTTATTCAGTAAGTTACATATATCACATTTCAACTATTTATAAATATGTTGTTATGTTTAATACTTGAGGAATAATCTTGTGCAATAATCTGTATGCATATACAGGCAGACCTCATGTTATTCTGCTTCACTTTATTGAGCTTTGCAGCTACTGCATTTTTTACAAAGTGAACATTTGTAGCAACACTCTATCAAGCAAGACTCTCAGTAGCATTTTTCCAACAGCATATCAATGTCCCTGTTTCACATTTTGATAATTCGCGTAATATTTCAAGGTTTTCCGTTATTATTATGTCTGTTTTGGTGATCTGTGATTAGGGATCTTTAAGGTTATTATTGTAATTATTTTGAGGTGCCACAAACAGCACCCATAAAAGATGGCAAATTTAATCGATAAATGCTGTGTGTGTTCAGCCTGCTCCACTGACCAGCCATTCTTGGATCTCTCTCCTTCTCCTAGGGCCTCTGTGTTCCCTAAGACACAACAATACTGAAATTAGGCCAGTTAATAACCTTATATTGGCTTCTAAGTGCTGTCAAGTGAAAGGAAGAGTCACACGTCTCTCATATGAAATCAAAAGCTAGAAAAGATTAAGCTTAGTGAGGAAAGCATGTTGAAAGCTGAGACAGACCGAAAGCTAGGCCTCTTGCAGCAGTTAGACAAATTATAAATGCAAAAGAAAAGTTCTTGAAGAAAATTAGAAGTGTTACTCCAGTGAACATCTGAATGATAAGGAAGCAGTTTTTTGTTTTTTTGTGTTTTTTTTTTTTGTTTTTTTCTTTTTTGTAGACAAAGTCTCACTCTGTCACCGGACCAGAGTGCAGTGGCACGATCTCGGCTCACTGCAACCTCCGCCTCGGGTTTAAGCGATTCTCCTGCCTCAGCCTCCCAAGTAGCTGGGGCTACAGGCGCGCACCACCACGCCTAGCTAATTTTTGCATTTTTAGTAGAGACAGGGTTTCACCATGTTGTCCAGGATGGTCTCTATCTCTTGATCTTGTGATCCACCCAGCTCAGCCTCCCAAGGAAGCAGTCATATTGTTGATATGGAGAAAGTTTTAGTGGTCTGGATACAAGATCAAACTAACACAGCATTCCTTTAAGCCAAAACCTAATCCAGAGCAAAGCTCTACATCTTCTCAATTCTATGAAGGCTGAGAGAGGTGGGAAAGCTACAGAAGAAAAATCAGAAGCTAGTAGAGGCTGGTTCATGAAGTTTAAGGAAAGAAGTTATCTTTGTAACATAAAACTGCAACGTGAAGCAGCAAGTGCTATTGTAGAAGCTGTAGGAAGTTATCCAGAAAATCTAGCTAGGATAATTGACGAGGGTGGCTACACTAAATAACAGATATTCCATGTAGATGAAACAGTCTGCTATTGGAAGAAAATACCTTCTAGGACTTTCAGAAGAGATGTCAGTATCTAGCTTCAAAGCTTCAAAGACAGGCTGACTCTTGTTAGGAGCCAATGGAACTGGTGACTTTCAATTGTAGCCAATGCTCATTTACCATTCTGAAAACCCCAGGGCCCTTAAGAATTATCCTAAATCTACTCTGTCTGTTCTCTAGAAATGGAATAACAAGACCTGGATGACAGAACATCTGTTTACAGCATGATTTACTGAATATTTTAAGCCCATTGTTGAGAACTAAAAGAAAAAAATTTATTTAAAAATATCACTGCTCATTGAAAATGCCCTTAGTCATCCAAGAGTTCTGATAAGAGATGTGCAAGGGGATTCATGCTTTCATGCCTGCTAACACAACATCCATTGTGCAGCTCATGGATCAGGGAGTAATTTCAATGTTCAAGTATTTTTATTTAAGAAATACATTTTGTAAGGCTGTAACTGTCATAGATAGTGATTCCTCTGGTGAGTGTGGACAAAATAAATTTTCTTTAAAGGTGTCACTGTTCTAGACGTCATTAAGAATATTCGTGATTTATGGGAAGGGGTCAAAATATCAACATAAATAGGTGTTTGGAAGAAATTCATTCCAGTCCTCATGCATGACTTTGAGGGGTCCAAGACTTTAGTGGATGAAGTCACTGCAGCTATAGTAAAAAGAGCAAGAGAGCTAGAATGATAAGTGGAGCCTGAAGATGTGACGGAATTGCTGTACTCTCGTGACAGTACTTTCACAGATGAGAAGTTGCTTCTTAACAGTAACCAAGAAAATGATTACTTGAGATAGAATCTACTCCTAGTAAAGATACTGTGAATATTGTTGAGATGATAACAAAGGATTTAGTATATTCCATAAACTTGCTTGATAAAGCAGTGACAAGGTTTGAGAGAATTCACTCCGATTTTTAAAGTTCTGTTGTCAATAAAATGCTAACTAACAGCATGACATGGCATAGAGAAGTCTTTCAGGAAAGGAAGAATCAATCAGTATGGCAAATTTCATTGTTGTCTTATTTCAAGAAATTGCCACAGCCACCCCAACCTTCAGTAGCCACCATCTTGATCAGTCAGCAGCCATCAACACTGAGTCAAGATCTTCCATCAGCAGAAAGATCATGACTCACTAAAGGCTTAGATGATCATGAGCAATTTTTAGCAATAAAGTATTTTTAAATTAAGATATGTAAATTTTTTTAGACATAATGCTATTGCTCACTTAATAATCTACAGTATAGTGTAAACATAAGTTTATATGTACTGGGAAACCAAAAATATGTATGACTTGCTTTATTGCAATATTAGCTTTATTGGAGCTATCTGGAACCAGACCTGCAATATTTTGGAGAAATGCCTGTATTTGATTTTTGTCAGTGTAAATCACAGAATATAGAGGTTTAAAGGGTATAAGTATGTTGCTTCATGTTGTAAAAGTACCCCCAAAATAACGGTTTCAATTTAACTTCTATCATCAAATGTATGAGTGTTCTTGGTCTATATGAAACTGTATTTCCTCCATCTTGTTTTGCTCTGTAGTATTTTTGATATTTTCATTGGGTGCATGGGTCTCATTCTTAGGATTCAGCAGGTGTTTTTCGTATATTTGGAGTTTGCTAATTTATTATTTACCTTTTACTTATGGGACATGTTATAGTATGTTTTCTTTTGTCTTTATGACTTCCTTCTCTTTATTATTCCTTTAATAATTATCTCTTACACTCATGTTCTAATTAATATTAAACAATATTTTCAAGTAATTTTACTTATTTTTAATATTTGATTATTATTGTGTTGAGTCATATAATGTGGAGTTATAACTTTAGTTTTCCATGTAGTTGACCAAATATATCCATTTATTGAGTAATCCATATTTGTTCTTCTAATTTTAATTGCAACCCAAGAATATCTCCAAAATACTTTCATGGACATTTATCTATTTTTGAGCTTTGTACTTCGTTTTAGTGATCTCTTTTGCCAATACCATATTATTTTAATAACTAGGTTTGGAAATACATTTTAACATTCTTCAGTTCTAGTTAGCCCCATTCCTCAATTATTTTTATTTTTCCAGAGTTATCTTGATTGTATGTGCTTCTTGTAAAGTTTAGTTCCAAAATATAATTAATTTAGTTTTTTGTTTTTGTTTTTTTTGAGACGGAGTCTCACTCTGTCACCCAGGCTGGAGTACAGTGGCATGATCTTGGCTCACTGCAACCTGTGCCTCCCGGATTCAAGTGATTCTCCCGTCTCAGCCTGCCAAGTAGCTGGGACTACAGGTGGGCACCACCATGCCTGGCTAATTTTTGTGTTTTTCAGTAGAGATGGGTTTTCACCATATTGGACAGGCTTGTCTCGAACTTCTGACCTCGTGATCTGCCCACCTTGGCCTCCCAAAGTGCTGGGATTACAGGTGTGAGCCACCATGCCCGGCCTTCATTTAGTATTTTTACTGCAATGAAACTAGAAATATGTCAACCTGGGTATTGGTTCACACTTCAATATATCTTCTTCACAGCAAACATATAAAATAGCAGATAAAAATGTAAAGGACAATCAAAAATAAATAACAAGATGATCTGAAGCTAAGCATTTGCTCAACTTTGAACAGAGAATCAGCTTCTGTGAGTCAAAGACAACCAAAGTGCCTCACTTGAGATGAGTGTCTCAAGCTAAGTTTACTGTTTGAACTCAACAACATAGGAAAGTTGAGAAAAATAGGAGATGCCTTCAAGGCAATTTACTGTAGCTATATGTTATGGATTAAATTGCATCCTCCCAAAACTCGTATGTCGAAGTTTGAGAATGTGACCCGCTTTGAAGATGAAGTCTTTACAGAGGTACTCACATTAAAATTAGGTCATTTGGGTGGGGCTTCATCCAATATGGCAGGTGTCTGTATAGAAAGGGAAAATTTAGAGACACACTCACAGAAGGAATGCCATGTGCAGATGAAGGCAGTGATTTATGGTGATATTCTATCATCCAAAGAAACCAAAGATGACCAGCAACCCTCCAGAAGCTAGGAGAGAGGAATTCAACAGATTTTTTCCCAACACCCCTCAAAAAGACCAAACTCTGCCAACACCTTGCTCTCTAACTTCTAGACTATGCAGTTGTGAGACAGTCAAATTCTTCTGTTTAACCCACCTCAGTTTGTGGCACTTTGTTACAGCTGCCCAAGCCAATTAATGCATAATGAGTTTATAGAAAAGTGTGGACCTAGAGAAGTTGAAAGACAAAGACATGCCATATTGAGCAGGAACTGAGCCAAGTCAGCTGAGCTTGGTGACAAGATCTATGATAAACTCAGAGCCATAGGTGGTCATTATAACATGTGACTCTCGCCTCAGAATCAATGAGAATAGTACACAATGTGGAGACACATACAAAACTAAAACCAGGCCGGGCACAGTGGCTCACACCTGTAATCCTAGCACTTTGGGAGGCCGAGGTGGGCAGATCATGAGGTCAGGTAATCGAGACCATCTTGGCTAAACACAGTGAAACCCTGTCTCTACTAAAAATACTCAAAATTAGCCACACGTGATGGCACGCACCTGTAGTCCCAGCTATTTGGGAGGCTGAGGCAGGAGAGTCGCTTGAACCCGGGAGGAGGGGGTTGCAGTGAGCCGAGATCGAGCCACTGCACTCCAGCCTGGGCCACAGAGCGAGACTCCATCTCAAAAAAAAACAAAAACAAAATTAAAACCAGGCAGACAGCGAGAAAGAAGCAAAGAAAATTAACACGCAAAGTTCATTCACAAACTAAAGCTTGAAAACATTAAATAATTGAAAGCTAATAAAGATAGAGAACAGATTTGAAAATTAGAAGATGAAATCAGTTCAGCTAAAAATAATTTATGGAGCAGAGTGATAAAGATATTAAAATAAATATATATAGGAGGCTCAATACAATAAAAGTAAAATCTTTTAAAATGTCAGCATATAGGCCGGGTGCGGTGGCTCATGCCTGTAATCCCAGTGCTTTGGGAGGCTGAGGTGAGTGGATCACCTGAGGTCAGGAGTTTGAGACCAGCCTGGCAACGTGGTGAAACCCTGTCTCTACTGAAAATACAAAAATTAGCTGGGCGTGATGGTGGGCGCCTGTAGTCCCAGCTACTCGGGAGGCTGAGGCAGGAGAAGCACTTGAACCCAGGAGGCAGAGGTTGCAATGAGCTGAGATGGTGCCACTGCACTCTAGCCTGGGCGACAGAGCGAGACTCTGTCTCAAAAAAAAATAAAAAATAAAAAAAATAAGCGTATAGCAAAGAAATAACTAAGAAATGGTTATAAGAACATGTAGAAATCTTGAATATGAATAACAATCATTGAATTAAAGTACTACATAAGAGATAAACTCTAAACCAGAACCGATTGAAGCGAGAAGAAGCACAGCAATGACATATATATTCAAAAATCAATTCATAAAGAGGTAAAAAATATGAAAAGTACAATTAAGATATATGAGTAAAAGTTTGAATGGCTACAGTCTATGTTCAATCAGAGTTTCAGATGAAAACGAGAGGAATGGCAGAGAAGGCTATACTTGACAAGAATAGAGTTGAGAGTTTTCCAGAATTTAAAAAAAACGCATGGTTCTCAGATCAAATGTTTCTTTAGGACTTAGTAGCATATAAATATAAATGCGGATTTAGGCATAACCTTGTAAAACTGCAAACCATCAAAGTTTTTAATTCCTGAAATTTACCAGAAACAAAAGATAGATTACCTATAAATGGTTGCAAATTAGCCTGAAACTGACTTCTCTATGGCAATGATTAAAAACTAAAAAAAAAATAGAGTATCTTAAGAGTGCTAAGACAATGAACACAATATTATATTCTTCTAAATGGTCATTCCAGAGCACAGGCAAAATAAAGACATTTCAAATATGAAAAGGCGAATGTAGATCCTCCTTCAAATTTTTAAAAATAATATAAGCTCAGAGAGATAGCATGAGACTAAAATAACATCAATAAGTGAAAATGTTGATAAAATTATGTTGAAATTGTAATTGACAGCTGATAGTAAAACTAATTACATATTTTTTTTGGATAAGACTAAAATTCTAGGAAGCAATATACATGAGGACTTTAAGTGTGGAATTGCATCCTAACATCCTTTTTATGTTTAGGAGAGGGATCAAAACACCAAATAATTATAGATTTGCAATAATAACTTCTGTGACTAATTAAACATTAGTTAAATTAACAGAAATTACTAAACGAAAAGAATATATAACTTCAAAGTCAGCAGATGAGACAAATGTACATGTAGAAAAATTTTATTCAGCAGAACACAATAAAGAAGCAAGAATAAAGGAAAGAAACATGATTATATACAATAGAATGTAAGTTGGAAGAAATAAATACAAATATGTCAATAATCACAATAAGTGCAATTTAATTATTTTCATCATTTAAACTGGAGAAAACTAAATCCACTTTGTGATATTTTGCTTTCAAGAAGAAAACCTAAACACAATAACGTAGAAGGTAAAATATAATGGAATGGAAAAATGGTAAACTATGCAGGTTCTCATCAAAATAAATACGATATAGCGATATTAATGTAGGGCAAGATAAACTTTAAGGTAAAGGCCATCATTAGAAATGCAGTGAGTAGCACCGAAGTAGTGTGGCACCGAAGGTGATGGGTAGCTCTTTTAGGTTGAAATCTCGGTTATGCGGTGATATTAAAGCAGAGACCTGAATTGTAAGGAGAGGTCAGTCATAACAAGATCTGGGAGCTGAAAGTTACAGGTAGAAAAAACAGCAAGCGAGTGTGATGAGTTTAGTGTGTTGGACGAGCCCATGGAGGGCCACGTGACTGGGACCTAAGGAAACGACGAATGGCAATGATGACTTTAGAGGTAGGCAGTAGGTAGATTCCACTGGCCTTTGTAAGCAATGGTAAGAAGTATGCTTTTATTTTTTATTTTTTAAAATTTTACTTTAAGTTCTGGGATACATGTGCAGAACGTGCAGGTTTGTTAGATAGGTATACATGTGCCATGGTGGTTTGCTGCACCTATCAACCTGTCATCTAGGTTTTAAGCCCCACATGCATTAGGTATTTGTCCTAATGCTATGCCTCCCCTTCCCCTGCCCCCTGACAGGCCCCAGTGTGTGATGTTCCCCTCCCTGTGACCATGTGTTCTCATTGCTGAATCCCACTTATGAGTGAGAACATGCAGTGTTTGGTTTTCTGTTCCTGTGTTAGTCTGCTGAGGATGATGGTTTCCAGCTTCATCCATGTCCCTGCAAAGGACATGAACTCATCCTTTTTTATGTCTGCATAGTATTCCATGGTGTGTATGTGCCACATTTTCTTTATCCAGTCTATCACTGATGGGCATTCGGTTTGGTTCCAAGTCTTTGCTATTGTAAATAGTGCTGCAATAAACATCTGTGTGCATGTGTCTTTATAGTAGAATAATTTATAATCCTTTGGGTATATACCCAGTAATGGGATTGCTGGGTCAAATGGTATTTTTGGTTCTAGATCCTTGAGGAATTGCCATACAGAAGTGTGCTTTTACTCCAAGGGTCATGGAAACTATTGGTACATTTTAAGCCAGAATATGACAAAATTCTACGAACCAGAAAACAGGCCCTTACCAGACACCATATATGCCAACATCTTGATCTTAGACTTCCCAGCCTTCAGAACTGTAAGAAATTAATTTGTGTTGTATATAAGCCACCTAGTCTATGGTATTTCGTTTTAGCAGCTGGAAGGAACTAAAACAAGATGTGTTCTAGCCGCTTCTCTTACAGAACAAGTAGCCTAGTCCTACATAAAGCTGGGCAGTTGCTAGAGACAAAAAGCAACCAGCAAACAATGTGTCAAGACATGTATATATAATGTTAGAAAAGCATTGTTCATAAAAGCAAAGTAACAGAAATTATTAAATGCTCACAATTTAATTGGAGATTAGCTAAACACATTGTGGGAAATCCATCAAATAGAAAACCAGGTATCATTAACTAGACAAGCTCCGCTCTGTGTCTGATAGAAATGTTTTCCAAAATAAATTGAAAAGTAAAAAAGCATGATGAAGATGATTATGTTTATGAACATGAAGATGGAAATAATAGACCCTGGGAACTCCAGAAGGGGAGATGTGGAGAGGGGGATGAGGGTTGAAAAATTACCTATTGCATACAATGTTCACTGTCTGGCTGATAGGTACACAGAAACCCAAACCCCACCATTTTGCAATATATCCATGCAACAAACCTGCATATGTATTTCCGGAATCTAAAATAAAACAAAATTTTTAAAGGACTGTTATATTATATTTAAATAGTATACCCATTATACTCATTCGTGTAAAAAAAAATAATAAGCTGACTTGTATGGCAAATATTTTGAAGCATTCAAAAGAAGCTCTTAATAATGACTAAACCTGCAAAGGCTGGGGACAGTGGAAGAGCTGTCCTTTTCTACCTTCATGTTCAGTTTTGTTTTTTGGGTTTTTGTTTATATGTTTCTTTCTTTTTTTTTTTTTTTTTTTTTTTGAGACGGTCTCATTATGTTGCCCATGCTGGAGTGCAGTGGCACGATCTCAGTGCACTGCAACCTCCACCATACAGGTTCAAGCGATTCTCCTGCCTCAGGCTCCCGAGTAGCCAGGATTACAGGCAAACACCACCACGCCCAGCTAATTTTTTGTAGTTTTACTAGAGATGGGGTTTTGCCAGATTGGCCAGGCTGGTCTCAAACTCCCGACCTCAAGTGGTCTGCCCGTCTCTGCCCTCCAAAGTTCTGAGATTACAGGTGTGAGCCACCGCATCTGGCCCAGTTTTGCTTTTGAATGATCAACATGTATTCTTTCAGTTTTTGAAAACTTTAGTCATTTTTAAATTCCCTTTATTACACTAGCCTTTCAGTTTCCATTTTGCTCATTTATCCTGTACTTGAATAATTTGCCTGTCAAAAATCCCCACATGAATTCTGTAGCAGTGAGGATGGAAACAAATTACTTAAGCATAATCTTATTTTACATATAAGTTTTGCCTATACTAATAGAAATAAGAGGTGTGAAACATGTTAATACTGTACATTTAAGACTAAATTTTTTTAGACAGAAATCTTTATAATTCCTTTAAATGGGTTCTTTGTAAGTCATATGAAGGTATTTGTTTTGACAGATAATTTTCTGTTCATGTTTAAAATCTACTGTACTTCTATTTTTCCTCTGACATTGTGGCAAATGAGTCACTAAAAAAATTCACCTAATATTTTCCTCTTGAACAAACTGAAAAATTAACATATATATGACAAAAGACTCAATTCAATTTAGATAATATAGGCTTATATTTATTTCTGTGGAATTAATAGACCAATAATCTTCTATAATTTCATGTATGTATTGACATACTCTGTATTTACTAATACCTGTCTTTATGATTAAAATCCATTTTCAGGAGAAAAGACACATATAACTACTCTAGGTTTTTACTTGAACCCAGTAGTAAGCTTCTGAGAACACCATTTGGTGGGGAAGAAAGAGTTTATATTTTATTAATAAAATAAACATACATGTGCATTTTATAACTTTTACAAGTGTTTTTCTGTCTCTGATATTGCCAGTATGAAATCAGATTTTATTAATAATAAGATTAAGTAATGACAGCATGAACAAATGAGGGATAATACTTAGTAGAAAAGACTGTTGATAGTGCAAACATTTACTAAGTCTTAACATATCTTCTTAAGTGATTTTCAGTGTAAGAGAGTAAAAAGAAATTGACAGCAACTGAGTATCTGCATGTACCAGACTTTCTATTTGTTTCTGATTTCATTTTATTTTTTTGAGACAGGGTCTCGCTCTGTCACCCAGGCTGGAATGCAAAAGTGGGAAGATTGCTGGAGCCCAGGATGCAAAGGCTGCAATTGCTGCGATTGTGCCATTACACTCTTGCCTGGTTGTTTTTTTAAATCGTATAACATGTAAGATAGGTATTAGAGCCCACTTCACAGATGATACAAGGGAGAAGAGAAGGGCTTATAACAGTATGGGGATGCCTAGGCTATAGGGCACTTTTTCTCAAAATACGTTCTGTGGAACATGATCCTTTTACAAAGTTCGGGGAAAGAGATTTCCACAGTGAGTGTTATCTGAGGGTGGACATGCCAAGCTCATTCCCACCTGGGCTTTTCTCATGTTCTCTTACCTCATCTGGAATTCTCCTTTCTCAGAGCTTTGTAGGACCCTTTTCTTCTCATTCAGAGAGGTTTCCGTATCTACCAGATCACTGTATGTTTTTTTCTTCTCAACACTTCACATGATCCCAAAGTATTCGTTTTATGTATTTGTTTACTTGCATCTTTTATTTTCTGCTGCCTCCTCCTCTAACTACCACCACCATAAGCTCAAGCCTTGAACTGTCAAGTCCATGAGAACAACGATCTTGACTTATTCAGTACTATTACCATCAGCACCTAGAACAGTGCCCAGTACATAGCAGGTGCTCAATAAATAATTGTGAAATGAATGATTTTCAGTGTGATCACTGTACACTCCTTGTTACAGTGCACATTGCCTCTTAAGGCCTCTAAGCAGGATGACAGTCAACGAATCTGCTTAATTTTGTTTAACACAGTCTCTCCACAATGCATGTGATCATTTTTTTTCCTTGTTACATCCAAGTAGTCAATTTCAAAAATCCTTTGGTAAATGTTGCCACAGTGAAACCATAAAGGACCCACGTTCCAAAATCCCCACTTCATCTGCTAAACTTCCTATTCAAATGGACGTGTTACTTAGAAGGTGTATTTTAGGAAGCTTTTGGCAGCCGTCAGTACCACACCAAGAATGAGTTCGTCAGTTTAACTAACAGAGGGCCATGTGTAGAGAGAATGGATGCTCCTGCCACCTGTGGAGCCAGCCTCAGGAGGCAGGTGAGGGAGGAAGCAAGATTACAAGGGAAAACTCCAGCCATCCAGGGGGCCCAAGGAGGGCACTGTCCTGGGAGGAGCCTATGAGGAAAGTTACACAGGTGAAGAAAAGAACTTCCCACATTTTCCCCCTCCACCAGCTGTGGCTAGTGGGCTTATTACATGGTTATTTATTAATTCTGCCGATCTAGTTTGACGCACAGAAACATTATATAACTCCTTCAACTTCAGGGTAGTTAATGAAGCAGTTAGAATTCAAACCCACCACTGACTGACTAAATCACTTTGTCTTTCTCTTCCTCCATGATACCGTCCCTTTTCTCTTTAATTCATAAGACAAGCAAAGGGGAAAAATCATTAATCACCCATTTTCTTAATTAGCAAGAAATGCAGAGGGAAAAGAAAGATCATTTCTCCACCCGCAGCGGGTGTCTACCTGGCTTTGCAGTGTCATTTGCTTCATGGTTGGTTGGTTGGTTGCATACCATCCAAGGTGGAAATGGGACATGCCCTTGAGGGTAAGTCAATGTAAAGGAAGAAAAGGAAAAAAACATGCTAAAGAGTTCAGAGCTGATCAGTTATCAATGTCCATTTCTTGATGCTTCAGAAAAAATCCTGATATATATATTTCTAAGTGGCTAGTACATAAGAGAAAAGGAAATTAACTTATCTGATCCCTTAAAATTTTATAAGCATCAAATGACCTTGAGAAATGTCTGCAATTTGTAATTCTTAACTATGTAAGAAAAGGCATTGTACAGAGTTAATATCAGATTCTTTGTTTGTTTGTAGTTTAGAATTTGCATATGCCTACTTGATTTTGAGGACCCTTACATGATTTGATGGCATATTACACAGGGTAATCAAATTACATTGATCATAAAACAAAAATCCCAAGAAATCGTAGACACATAGACGTTTTTGGAAAATTAGAATAAGTCCGTTACACAGAACTCATGGTTAATTAGAGAATTTGTAAATACATGTTTATCTACAAAGGCAAACTTTTTACTTGAACTAAATTTCAAGCAGGGATAAATATTTTAATAGGTCCCTTACATAAAAGGTTTCTTAGCAAATTAATGAACAGTTTCCACTAGGAGTGAAGCTTAGAGCTTGGCAGATTTCAAATTCTTTGTTCTTAATAGGTTCTAGAATGTTAGCCATGCATTGATTACCAAAGGATATTTGGGCTACATTTGGAAAGCAAAGTAATAAGCACATCTGATCAGGTCTCTCCTGAAGACCCTTTGAGAATAATCTCAACCCAAGCCATTTATTGGCTTTAATAATGAGAAAAGTGAGTTGGGAAATACCAGATGTTAATGAAAATCTGTTCAAATCTCTGCCGTGAATGGGAGCTTCATCAGTTTAGTCAAGTCTAATTTAGACTAGAGGCAGATTATTTAATTATTATTCAGTATACTTTCTCCAAAATGTGCCATAAAAAAATTCTGAACAATCTGTTCATTTTTTAAAATTAGACCTTTTTAGGGCAGACTTAAGGTAGCTGTTTTCAAGCCATAATTTCTGGGACAGCATGCATTACATGAAAAAATTTACAAATCGTGGACTTTTTTTGTCCAAAGTAAATTGAATAGATAATAATAACCACAATGTTTTAAACTCATATAGTACTAAATAGGTAAAAAGAAGTACTTTTTCATGTATTACCTCTTTCATGTATACCAAATTGAGATGTCTTATCTCAACTTAACTGTATATTAATTTGCAATTAAATGTACTCTAAACCATGGCTCTTTGACATTTTGAAAAGTGCCAGTTTTATCAATTAAAGTTGAGACTTTGAGGTTACCAAATGGTTTGATTACTTATTCTTGTACTTGTGTATTCCACCATTATTTATTGGACACTGTACTAAGTGCTGGGGATACAAAAGTAAACAAGACAGAATTTTATGAGTCAATAAATGATGAAATGCAAAATTTATTATTTCATAATGATTGTAATTAAATGCTCTCAACAAAGAAGTATAGGCAGTTATATTTGTGATTAACAGGAATATTTGACCCATTCTTGTACATTAGGAAAGACATACTCCAGGAAGTAATATTTTCCTGAGCTCTGAAAGATAGGTAGGAATTATGAAGTGGAAATACTACTTCAGGTAGATGAGAAAACAAGTATAAATTCATTTAGGTAGAATAAAGTGGTCAACGTTTCATGATACAAGAATTTAGCAAAAGCAGGTATGGCCGTACTAAAAAGTATGTGTGGAAGAGGTACAGTAGTGGACGGAGTTACAGAATAGCCAAGAAAAGATAAGTGGTGGTCAAATCATGCAAAATTCTACCATAGATTTTCATCCATGTCCACATAACAACAGCAATAAATGCTTATTAAGCCTTAATACATGCCTGGTAGTGTTTTAAGTACTTGGCAAGCTTTAAACTTCACAACATGCCTTTGTATTAGATCTTTATATCATCCTCATTGTACAGCTCAACACACAGAAGAGAAGAGTTTAGGTCACTTGATTACACAGCTAAGAAATGAGCAACTTGGGTTCTGATGCAAGTGGTCTTGCTCCAGGACCTCCTACGCTGAGTGATGAAAAACCAATGAAGGCTTTGAGCAAGGAATGGACATACCCATCTCCCACTTCCCTACCCTTGCACTAAAGGTATGGGTTTCAGTCAATGAACATTTATTGATGTACAGAGTACCAGTGATGTACAGAGCGCTGTAGTAGATGCTGTGATATCTTATGCACTCACATCCACACATTATTCTGTTAGTACAAACCCTTCAAGAAGCAACACAAATACCAAGATTAAGGAAGGACTTTGACAGGCATGAATAGGTGAGGAATATGCAAAAGAGGGTTATCATGATAATGATATGAATCAATATTTTCATAGTCTCTCAGTTTCCCAAGTTGCTGTAATTTCATTCAGTTCTCACAATAACTTGCTCATGTAGACACGACAGGGATTGTTTCCACTTTATAAGTAAGGAAGCTGAAGTTTCGAAAGGGTAAAGCACCTCTGCCAAGCACACATACCAGTGATGGAACCGGATTCAAATTTAACTTTCCTGACTCCACTTGAGGCCTGCTTTTATGCAATGTCTATATAAAAGGAAGAGCCTGTGGAAAACTAGAAAAGAGGGAAACATAAAGTACTGTGTGTGATAAATTTTGTAAAATATTTAGAATTTTCCCATAAACTAAGAAAATAAAAAGAGTAATAACAATGTCATAATATTTAATTTTCTCGTTAAAATATGCTCAAAATATCTTTCACAGAACCACCTTTATGGTTCCTAACTGCAATCCTACTCTTTCAAATGCACCTTATGTTTTATTATATTTCCCTAAACACATGCAAGTCTTAGGAGATTATTAGAGATTATTAGGAAGGAGTGATTTCTTAAAAAATGAAAGCCAAGTAAATTAATTGAGTTTGGAAATGCAACTAGTTGGCACGGCTTGTTATAATTTTTTTCTCTGTAGAGAAGTAATTAATCATTGGAGAGCATGAAGAAAAGCTGTGTAGTTATCCACATGCCTTCTTATACAATGACTCATTTTATAAAAGAAAAGTGGAATCAGTCTTGAATTGTGAATTGTGATCTTGGGCCAATATGCTGGTAAAACACAGCATACATTAGGCCAATGCTGGTGCTATATTAGGCCAACGTTACTGTCTAGAAATAACTTCTTGTGTGTGTTGGGGGTGGGGGTGGGGGAGGGTGTGATTTATTTCCTACCTGGGTTTTTGATGTATCAAGTACGCAAGGTGTCACCTCTGCCATGGACTTGACAAACCCCGATTTTGGTCACAGGCTCTCAGATTTGGGGATCATGAACTTAGGAATAAAATCAATTAAAAGATATACATTTGCCCCTTTTGAATTATTGTTGATTTTGGCCTACCGCCTTTTCCTTCATTAGTCCTAGACATGAAGCCAACGTGAGATTTATTTCTCACTTATGGCCTCTCTTTTCCAAATTGTCTTTCTGTTATTTATGGGCAGTAAAACTAAGGCCTGAACAAATGCTGAATTCCGCTTAAACCCTTACTCACCTCAAATAATGAATGATCAAGTTATCTGACAGCTTGTGAACACATTTCAAGTGAGATTATGACAACTTACCTACAATAATGCCAACAATTTTGAAATTATTCTTCGGAGTCATTTTATTTTCCATGTATTTTAAATTAACTCATTGGTTCTCAAAACGTTCTATTCATAAGAGTTTGCAATATTTTCTTGGAGTATTGCCAAAAGTCTTTGTGCTAATCAGTAGTATATGAAGCCAAAAACAGCAAAAATAAAAAAAATTAACCATTAAATAAGCTTGTACAGCAATTTTGCTCAACATATCCATCTTAGAGGTTTGTAATCTACATCAGCATTTACTTTAATTTTATTTTTTAATTAACACAGAAAACACATTTTTGGTACAAGTCTATGAATTTTAACTAACGTATGGAGTCTTATAACCACCATCCCATCCCAGTCAAGACACACATTAATTCCTTGACACTCTAAAAACCACGTTGATTTAATCAATTTACATTTCAACAACAATCTTCTAAAGTAGATGCTGTATCACCCGCATTTTACAACTGGAAAAACAGAGGTACCAAGAAGTTTAGGTCACTGTCCCGAGGCGAAACAGCTCAGAAGTGAACAAGATGGGATTTGACCCAAGAAGTTTTGCTCCAGGGCCTTCTCTCCTAGCCCCTATGCTTAAAAACAAATGCTCCCTACACCTCCAAAGCCTGGAAACCTGGTATCTTCTCTATTACTACAATTTCATATTTTCCAGAACACCATATAAATGAAGTTGTATAGAATCATATAGTATGTAACCTTCAGAAACTGGCTTTTTTTCACTCAGTATAAAGACTTTGAGATTCACCCATGCTGCTGTGTGCTTTAATAGTTTATTATTTTTATTGCTGATTCCATGGTATGGGCATACCATAATTTGTTTTTCTGTTTACCCACTGGGGGACATTTATATCATTTTCAGTTCAAAGATCATAGAGTAAACTGGTATAAACATTAACAGATAGATTTTGTGTGCATGTAACTTTTCATTTTTCTAGGACAAATATGTAGGAATTGGATTTCTAGGTAATAGGGTAAGTGTGGGTTTAATGTTAGGTAAACCGCAAACTGTTTTCTAGAGTGGCTGTGTCACATTTCATTCCCACCACCAACATACGATAATTCCAGTTTCATCCCCTCTTTGCTAGCTCTTCATATTGCGAGTTGCATTTTTATTTCAAAGTTTATTTTTTATTTTAAATTTAAAATGGCTAAAATATAAACTACTCGCAATATGAAGAGCTGGTAGCTTGGTAAACTCACAAATCACTTACCAGACCTGATTATATCTAGAAGATTCTTTTTGCTTTTTTGGAATATTCTGATAGGTGAGTAGTGGAATTTCATGATGATTTTAATTTTCATTTCCCAATTGTCTAGAGATGCTGAACATCTTTCTGTGTGCTTATTTGCCTTCTGTATATCCTCTTTGTTCATTTTAAAAATCATTGTTTTCTTGTGAACTTTAAGTATTCTTTATATAATCTGAACATAAATGCTTTGTCAGATAAACTGCAAATATTTTGTGCCAGACTAGTTTCTCTTATTTTATCTTTTATGGAGCAAAGTTTTTCGTTTCCATGAAGTCCAATTTATCAAGATTTTATGTAATGGATTTTGATTTTGTTGTCACATGTAAGTATTCTGAGACCTGTTCTTAGGTTATAAAAATTTTCTCCTATTCTACTAGAATATTTATATTTTTTTACATTTAAATCTATAATCTTTTCTGAAATAATTATTGTATAAAATGTGATGAATGTCAAGATTTATTTATTTATTTTGCTCAAAGCCATCAATTTGTTTGAGCACCATTTGTTGAAAAGATTACCTTTTCTCCATTGAATTACTTTTGCACAGTTGTCAAAAATCAATTGACCATGTCTGTATGAGTCTATGCCTGAAATATCTATTGTAATTAATTTATCTAAGTGTCAATCCCTTTACCAATACCCAAGACTCTTAATTATTGGAGCTTTCAAAATTTTTCTGACTATTCTGCTTCCTTTCCCACATCAAGTTTATAACAAGCTTGTCCACATCTATAAAAATTATTGTGGGAATTTTGATTGGAATTACCATAAATCTCTAGACCTAATTCAATAAAATTGACATTTTTTTCTAATTTGAGTCTTTGAATGCCTGAGCAGTCTCTCTCTCTACTTATTAGAAGTTTTCATTGATCTATTTTTCAGCAGTGTATTATAGTTCTTAATATAAGGATCCTGTACATGTTTTATTATGTTTATACCTAAGTATGTTGCTTGGGAAGAGTTCCTGTAACTGACACTTTTTTAAAATATCAGTTTCCAGTTGTTTCTTGTTATACTATATAAGTAAAATTTCTATCGTGTGATAATCTTGTATCTTGTGACCTTGGTAAACTCACAACTTACTTACTTGGTCCAATTATATCTAGGAGGGTTTTTTTTCTTTTTTAGTATATTCCTTGGGATTTTCTACAGACAATAATATAATTTGTACATAAAGAAAGTTTTATTTCTTCCATTCCTGTCTGTAGAATTTTCATTTCTCTTGCCTTATTGAACTCGCCAGTGTTTATAATAATATTGTGAAATGGAGTAGTGAGAATGGTGGACATCATTGTTTCATTCCTGATGTTAGGAGGAAAGAACTCATTGTTTCATAATTAAGAATAGTGCCAACTATAGGTATTCTTATAGATAACTTTTATCAGGCTGAGAAAATTCCTTCTAGTTCTAGTTTGCTCAGAGTTTTACACATTTTATTAAAATGCCTTTTCCACATCAATTGATTTGATCTTTTTTTAGACAGTTAATGTGATGGAGTTCATTGACTGATTTTCAGTTGTTGAACCAGTATTGCATATCCATAACAAACTGCACTTACTTCTGATACAGCCTTCTTTTTATGTTGCTGAATTTTATTTCAAAATATTTTGTTGAGTATTTTTACATCTATTTTCATGAGATATATTGGCCTGAAGTTTTCTTGTATTGTCTTTATATGCTTTTATCAGAGAACTGCTAGCCTTATAAAATAAATTAGAATGTGCTCTTTTCTCTTCTATGTTCTGAAAGAAATTGAGTGGAATTGATGCTATTTCTCATTTAAATATCCAGTAGATTTCACTAGTGAAACTATCTAGCCAGATGCTTTACTTTTGAGGATGTTTTCAAACTATGAATTCAATTTATTTAATAGTAATAGAACTATACAAGTTTTCTATTTAGTCTTAGGTAAGTTTTGAGAATTTACAGTTTCTGAGAAATTAGAGCTATGCGTATGCAACTCGGGGTGAGCACAATAAACAACTTTACTGAGTCACTTTTTTGAGCTCCATAATGTCCCTGGTACATTTGTTCCCCTTTATAGCCTTGGGCCAAAAACTGGAGCTTTATTTCTCTTCTTCTGCTGTATACTTTCCTGAAATGCACTCATGTCTGCAGCCAAGGGGCAGAGGACAGAAAAGGAGAGAAAGAAGTAGAGTTTTATTCCCAACGTCCTTGTATTAGTCAGGTCCCACATTGCTATAAAGAAGTACCTGAGATTGGGTAATTTATTTAAAGAAGTTTAATTGGATCACTGTTCTGCAGGCTGTACAGGAAGCATGATGCCAGCATCTGCTCAGCTTTTGGGGAGGCTGCAGGAAAACTTACCATCATAGGAAAAAGGGAGGAAGGCATCTCACATGGAGGGAGCAGGAGCAAGAATTGTGGGGTGCCACACACTTTTAAACAACCAGACCTCACGAGACCTCACTCACTATGCCGAGGAAAGTACCAAAGGAGAAATCTGCCCCCATGCTCCAGTCATCCCCCGCCAGCTCCACCTCCAACATGGGGGATAATATTTCTACATGAGATTTGGGCAGGGACGACACACAAACTATATCACTTATACCGCAGCTCCCCAGAAAGAGCCACAGCTCGTCTGAAAGGATATTAGATGTCTTCATGTCTCTGCTGCCATCGCTGTTGTGGGGACCCGTTTCCCATTCCTTGAATGTAAACCAGAGAGCTTGTCCTGGAACTCTCTGTCCATGCAGAAGTCTACTTGTGGGTTTCAGATGAGTGGGGTACAGGCCAGTAGACATAATAGAGGGAAACACAGTACACTACAGCCTTTCTAGTGGTATTTTGATTCTGATTTTTTAAAAATTCATTTGCTACTATCTACTTTTTTTAAGAGCTGCTCTGTGCATTCTGCCCTAGTTCTGTAACTACATTCAGTAGGAGAAACAGGGAGTGGGAGGAGTATGCTTACTCTGTCTTACCGAGAATCGCACTACCCTCATTAGCATTTTTCAATTCTACAAGGTCCTGCAAAAGACTTCTTTAACTGTGTTAACCTCTATGTTTTTCAGAACCCAATTTTTACCTAATATTTACTAACAGCTTGTGGAACCATTATTCCTTGAAAATGCATTTTCAAAAGCACTGTTCTAAAATAAAACTAACATTTAATAAAATTTTTGAACTATTGGTGATCTTATTATGTAAGTGCCAGAAAAATAAATACATGGAAATTATGTGACATTATCAACTTATTTGGCTAGGTCTGTGTTTAAGAAAATAATGACTTTTTTTTGTTTTGGTTTTTGGTTGTTTTTGTTGTTGTTGTTATTGTTTGTTTGTTTTTGAGATGGAGTCTCACTTTATCGCCCAGTCTGGAGTGCAGTGATGCGATCCTGGCTTACTGCAACCTTTGCCTCCTGGGTTTAAGTGATTCTCCTGCCTCAGCCTCCCAAGTAGCTGGGATTACAGGTGCCCGCCACCATGCCTAGCGAATTTTTGTAGTTTTAGTGGAGACAGGGTTTCGCCATGTTAGCCATGCTGGTCTCGAACTCCTGACCTCCGGTGATCTGTATGCCTTGGCCTCCCAAAGTGCTGGGATTACAGGTGTGAGCCACCTAACCCGGCCAGGAAAGAACGACTTTATAGGGGCTGCGTTTAAGAATCCCAACAGTACATGTAGATTTGCCTATGATTCACTTAATATTAGAATATTAATATTCTAATATTACTATTTGTTTTTTGACTTCATGATGGTGGATTTAGAGTCATTAATCAATTTAACTCAATGTGGATTTAGAATCATTCATCAATTTAGCTCTCTATGATGATTCTACAGACTTAATGCACAACATCAAGTTGATTCATGTACTACATTACTTTATGTAATGACTTTTATTTATATAGAAACATGGTGACAGACTTAGTGTTAAAGTCCAATAAAAGAAAGCAGGGCTGCAAGATCCGTGCTTATGAGTGTAATCCACCCAGGATTTTCCTACAAGCGTGTCAACACTGGATTCTCTAATTTTAGATTTCTACCAAACAGAGGAGCCTGTTAAAAGGACCCTAGCATTTTGTTCCATTTTATGAGGCCACATATACAAAGACAGACAAACGAACAGGCATCGTTTTACTGAACAACCTACAGATGCTCCTCAACTTACAATTAGGTTAGGGTCTGACAAATCAGTCTTAAGTTGAAAAATGTGAAGTTGAAAATGCATTTAATACGTCTAACCTATTAAATATCATAGCTTAGCCTACCTTACCTTAAACATGTTCGGAATATTTATGTTTGCCTGTAGTTGGGGAAAATCACCTACAACAAAGTCAACTTTATAATAAAAAATAATAATAAAATTCAAAGTACAGTTTCTACTGAATGTGTATCACCTTCACACCATCATCAAGTCAAAAATCGTTAAGTTAGACCCCCATAAGATGGGGACTTTCTGTATTTCTATTTATGGCATATGAATTGTTGAATGACTTTTCTTGTCCTAGACACCTAAAATACCCCTTGACTTCTTTTGACAAAACCTTCAAACATCTGCACTATTGGTTATTTTCTTAGTGAACTCTCTAGAAGAGTCACAGTTTGACTTGGGAAAATTTGTGGTTATCAGTAATCAATCCAGAAATGATGACATAAAGCATTGCTTTATGTAATATCCTTTCACCATAAAACATACAGAAGAATCTCTCTTCTTGGCAACCCAGCATCTGTTAATAGCAGATTGGCTCACCAATACACAGTTTATGAAGCAATATTAAATTGCAAGTGCTTTCTTAGAGTGGCTTTAGATGTTCTGATTTTCAGAGCACCTTTGTAGTAAGAATTTTACTTTTATTTTATATCTGATGTTTTTTATGTTTGCCTATATTTTATCTATGTTCCTCTCTAAGAAATACAGATTTCCAGTGTACTTGCTCCTCTCCTTGAAATTCTAACTGTACAAATATATAATTTGTTCATGTCTGTGGATGTGTGATATAAATTCTTTCTTATTTGTTCGTAAGGTCTTTCTCTGGAGAGTGGCTGTAAATTCTCACACTGCCCTGACAGGGCTCAGCGGAGGTGGTTCTGGGTGTTTTCAGTGTACCTTTCATGGGATTCTTGTTTATCCTGGTCGATGGCCTAATGCCTGAGTGTCCAACCCGTAACCATGTCTCACTGTCACAGGAAACTTGTTTATGCTAGCAGATACCTGTGTGACTCCTGTCTGACCAGGATTTGGATTATTCCTACCAAGATAACCACTCTCTAGGAGACCCCTCACTCGGAATGAACTTAGGTCTCAGTGTGTTGGTCATATGAGGCACAGAGGAGGCAACCCAAGAAAACATATTAAAAAACAGAAGCAATTTATTACTCACAGATCCCAGAAACAAGAAGGCAGCATGGCTCTCATGGCCAATGGGATGGGGGGAGTTTTCTGGGACACACTCAACATATTAAAAATATATCCATCAATAAATGAGTGGATAAAGAAATTGTGACAAAGAATCGCACACCATGGAATACTAGTCAGCCATAAAAAGGAATGAAATAATGGCATTTGCAGCAACCTGGATGGAATTGGAGATCATTCTTCTAAGTGCAGTAACTCAGGAATGAAAAACCAAACATCAGATATTCTCACTCATAAGTAGGAGCTAAGCCATAAGGATGCAAAGGCATACGAATGATCTGACGGACTTTGGGACTTGGGGGAAATGGTGTGAGGTGGGTGAGGGATAAAAGACTACAAACTGGGCACAGTGTATACTGCTTAGTTAATGGATGGACCAAAATCTCAGAAATCACCACTAAAGAACTTAATCATATAACCAAACACAACCTGTTCCCCCAAAATCTATGGAAATTAAAAAATAAATTAAAAGTTTTAAAAAATATATGTCATGTACAGTAAAACCCTCATATTGTTTCCATTACTTGTATTTTGAGGAATATCAAATTGGTTTTGAGGAGAAAAGGAAATATTCATTGAGATAAATTTCTCAAATATGTCATTTTGTCTATTAACAAAATAATCTGCATAAGGCATATGTTTTCCTTTTATAACAATTTAAATAATCAGTTATATGAATTCATAGCTTTTCTGTTCTCTCTTTAAGGTTTCGTTATATTCACACAAAAAAAGTAATTTAAAGATTAGAAGGTTCTGGAGTCTGGAATAAAACTAAATTCCATTGTCCGATTAAAATTTTGATTTTTCTAGGTTTCAACATTCTAATAAGTAAAACAGTAGAATCAGCCATTTTGTTGAATAATTATCAGAGGGAAGTAAGAAATCACGTTATCTGCCCTCAGGCTTATAGGTAAAGATGATCTTACATTATATTCAAGTAGGAAAAATTACCCTAATTCTATAACTAAGGAAACTCTACGAAGGGTTTTTTTTTCAAAATTGCCTATTCAATCCATCATAACAGAGATTTAATTAGTCCCCACTATGTACTGCACACTCTATTACACGATTTGAGAGACACAATAGTGAATAATACCTATCATCTTCCTTCAGTTTACAATTTGGTAGAGGAGATAATGTACGCTCGTGAGTATCTTGGTTTGAGAGTAAGGTTGGGTGTAAGGGTGGGGGCTCATGACTTCGGAGGTGCTTTTTTAATCCGTACGTGACACCTCCACTCAAATTCTAGTGTCCCTTATCGTCATGGTGCTCCCAAGCCACTCCTGCCCCAACCACTGAGATTTACTGCCATGGGGAGTCACTATTATAAATAGAAATAATGTAAATTGTTGTGTTTGTAAGTGTAAAAAAAACTAGATAATGTAAACAAGGATGATACAGTTAACCAGAATTCAAGAAAGGGCATACAATATGCTATTAGACAGCTCTCTAAAAAGGGTTAAGGGATTCAAGTCAGGCATGATTTGGTAAATTAAGCTATGAAATAGTTAAAACATTAAACTCGGCCTTGAAACATCACTTTAAAGCTTACATTGCCTTCGGGCACTCCGGTTTTCTGTTGGAATATTTAGTTTCCTGCTTTCTTATATTTGTTCCCAATGCATTAGAATTTACTAACCCCATTCAGCTTTTGGTATCTTGTGTTAAGAGACCGAGTAATTGACCTTGACTTTTCCATGTACTCTTTTCCATCCGATAATCAACAAGCTTACCTGTTAGCATACCCCTAATTTACATCTAGACTTTAATTAAGTGGTGACTTTTTCAAGGGAGGCAATCACTTTTAATTTCAAAAGTCAGAAAAAAAAATAAGAGAAGGCCTCATGTGGAAGGGTAGTTTTAAAATTTCAACAAATAGAAACAGAGAATTAAATTTACCAAGCAGAGGAAATAGCAAGAGAAATTAGTAACGAAGTTTTTGAGAAATAAAGGGAATATTCAGAATTTGATGAATACTGTCATTTGGGTGGCAAATATTTTAAAAAATGGAACATCAATTTGAAAAGGGATATTGTAATCACACTTAAGGTTGGATATATATAACTTTATTAAGCAATAGAGTGACATTTTTGCTTTGAAGAATTAAATAAGTCCATGTTTTAGGAAGACTAACGTGAAAGAAATATAAAAATTGTGTGGATCCATAAACTATATTATGAAGAAATAGGATATCAAAGACAATCCAGAACGCAGCGTACAACTCCAAGCTAGTGGAACTGGCAACTGATGAAGGAAATTGAGAGGGACAGACAGAATCCAGAGGCAAAGATGAAAGGATCTGGATCTCGAAATCACTTCACTTTGTTGGTGAAGTTACTGGCAGGTGTGAGCAACCGTAAAAAACACGATGACTTTTCTGGAAGTTTCTGGCCTGAGTGACTAAAACAATGATGCTATTATGTTATTATTTAATTTAGTTTGATTTAATTTTTTGAGATGGAGTTTTGCTTTTGTCGTGCAGGCTAGAGTGCAATGGCGCGATCTTGGTTCACTGCAAACTCTACCTCCGAGATTTAAGTGATTCTCCTGCCTCAGCTTCTTGAGTAGCTGGGATTATAGGCTCCCACCACCACGCCCAGCTATTGTTTTTATTTTTTAGTAGAGACGGGGTTTCACTATGTAGGCTAGGCTGGTCTCAAAGTCCTCATCTTAGGCGATCCACCCACCTCGACCTCCCAAAGTGCTGGGATTATAGGCATGCACCACTGTGCCCGGCCAATTATTCTATTATGAATCAAAATTTCAAAGTTAGGGGAAACAATTGGTTTGGATGAAACAGAGTGCTTCACTTTTATATCTGTTAAGTTTAGGGTGCCAGTAAAAAATATAGCAGGACGTAGATATAAATCTGGCATCTGGACACGCAAGATAAGAACTCTGTAGCTCTATAGAGAATAAGTTTGGAAAGAAGAAACCTTGGAGGTGTAAAATTTTGAACAGGGAAAAGAGATGAAAACAAAGATGATGATCATGATGATGACAATAACAGTAAAAATTAATGAAACTTAAGAAAAACAAAAATAAACGGTGAAAAAGTAAGAAGAGTAAACACAACAGAGAAAAAGTTCAAAATAAGTGAGAAAAAAATAAGTTAATGTTCTGGAAACAAGGGAAACTCACAAAGGCAGGTGGAGGCGCTGATCATGTGAACAGAGGAAGGAGGAGGACAACTTGAAAAGTTATGAGTAGAACTGGTGATTAGGGAGTCATTTAAGTAGCGGGCTAAGAATTTAAACAAGAAGAGGTGGAAAGGGGGAAATGTAGTGGAGGCAGCAAGTGTAAACTAACTTTTCAAGATGTGTGATCATGAAAGAAAGAGATAAACAATGGTAACTTGAGAGACAGATGTTTATGAGAGGAAACACCAGGTGGGGTTGCTCATGCCTGTCATCACGCCTATAATCCCAGCACTTTGGAAGGCCAAGGCAGGAAGATCGCTTGAGCCCAAGAGTTGGAGAGTAGCCTGGGCATCATAGTGAGACTGCATCTCTCAAAAAAAAAAAAAAAAAAATATATATATATATATATATATATATTCAAATAACCAGGAGTGCTGGCATGCACCTGTAGTACCAGCTACTCAGGAGGCTGAGATGGGAGGATCACTTGAGCCTGGGAGATTGAGGCTGCAGTGAGCTATGATTGTACCACTGAACTCCAGCCTGGGCAACAGAGCAAGACCCTGTCTCAAAAAGCAAAAACAGGAAAGACCTAAATACTGTGTTTGCAGGTAGAGGGTGGCAATACTTATGCAAAATGAAGTGTATACTAAAGAAGAATTTGGGGAAAGTAACTGACAAAACAAATTACTAAGAGAAAATCGAATGGGGATATAGAGCATATGGGTTAGAACTGAATAGGAAAGGAAAGAATAGCAAAGAATGGAGTGAATTGAAGGGAAGATAGGTGAGGTTATAAGAATTTGGTATAAATGTTGCTACAACCGGAGAAAAATACAAGCAACATCTCCTGAGAGTAAAAGAATGGAAAATCGAAATGGACCATAAAAATAATGACACATTTGCCGAAAAACCACAGTGGTAGGTAGGACTGATGATCAATAAGAGGTAAATAAAAAACTGCCTATGATAGGAAGGCTTATATCTCAAGTCCATCAGTTGTGTGTAGAAACTAAGCAGTTGCAGTGGACACCTCAAGATGCTTTTGTGAATTACTGCAGTGGTGTTCATTAGTTTAGGACAAGGAACAGTGAAACCCAGCGATAAAAGTCATCTAGAGCTGAGTACTCCACTCAAAAGCTACACAGAGAAAATTCAGAATCAGGAATTTCATAATTCTGATAAAGGTATTTTTGCAATGGTGACCAGATTAGGAGAGAAGCCAAACAAACAAACAAAAATGGAAGAAGACATGACAGACTTTGCGATTAAAGAAGAATTAAGGGTTTAAAAGTTTTAAGAATGGCGGAAAAAACAGTAGGAGTTACTGTTTGAGTAAGCTTAAAATTGATAGGTTGTGATTAGAACTGGGATCTTTGGACTCCTGGACCTAGACTCAAGGTGACATCCTGATGCTGTGGGATGAAAGCGAAGAGAAGGGGTAACTGTCCTCATTTTCTTTGCAGGACGCAGCCACTTGTGCATAAGCAATAAATACTGGAGTGCTCAAGTGCCACCTTTTCTTCTGTATATACACATTCCTATAAATTACATCTAGTGCCAAATCTTTGTATATCATCTATATATGCATGACCCTCAAAGCTATTTCTCCAGCTCTTTCATCATCTCTGAATTCCATTGTTTACGTATTCAGCTGCATTTCTGACATCTCCAGTTAGATATCATTTCAAAACCAAACTGTTCACCCTCCTGAGCCTGTTCCTTCCAGGCCTTCTAATCACATTAAACTGCACAATTATGCCCAAGCTGCTTAGCCAAGAGCCTAGGAACCATCATTGGTGCTTCTTCCCTCTACTCCCTACAAACACAATGAAATCACCAGCAAATCTTCACTACTGCCTTTCTAGTACCTATTCTGAATCTGAGCACTAACCCACCTCTATTCCCTCCATCACTTATCAACTGGACACCAGCAATAGAATCGTATCTGATATTCTGTACCACTCTCACCACCTCCTCCAACAAACCATTTTCCACAAAGCAGCCAAAACAATCATTTTAAAACCAAGATAATAATTTTTTTATCTATGGATGGAAGCCCTTGAATGAATTTCATTTCACTTTTAATAAAATCCAGACTTCTTACCATGCTCTATATAGTTTTCCCTGACAAGTCCCCTGACAGCATTCCCAGCCTCATTTGTGACCATTATCTCCCTTGTCCATTCCTTACAAGTCACACTGTCTATTCATATTACTAGATGATTCTCTCCTCTTTTCACCTGATGGTTTTTATACTGTGCACTCTCTCTGCCATGAAGGGTCTTCCCACAGCTGTTCCTCTTGACTCTTCAGGTCTCAGTTTAAATGCACCTCAGTGACATAACAACTCAGTCTGATGTTACCTCCTGGTCGCTACTTAGCTCTTTTCATTCTATGACTTTTCTGCAGAGTCCTTTAAAGTGCCTGAACTTTTATCGCTAATTTACTTACGTTTCTATCTCAAATACTAGATTTTTAAGCTTTGTCTGCCTTAACAATCATTATATCCCTAGCACTTAAAACAGTGCCTGATATATGAAAGGCACTCACTATCTGCTCATCAAATAGATGAATAGATCATTAAATCATTAAAGTTGAATTTATCACTATAAGTAATCTACATTCAGTGTGCAGTGACAAAAGAACATTAAAAATGTATCTTATTCAGACCAATCCTTACGCTGTGTCTCAACTATGGCACCAAGGGAGACCATATCCACTTTCTTCCAGAATGACTTCGGCTAACAGTGCAGCCCTACCATTTCATAGTCTTTTATTAATCTCTGATCTATTCATATATATATATATATCATATAATATAAATCATATCATAAATATCGCCATCACTACAAAAGGTTGTACAGTCAAAAATGCAATAAATATATTGCATATATATATATTGACTGTATAACCTTTTGTAGTGATGGCTATGATATTTACTATTTGCTACGATGGCTTTTCCCATGGGAATCACTCAATAAATATCATACTAGTGATGCTTACTACTTATTTTATAACAACTAGTCATATTTATTTGTCCTAAAATTATCTTTGACTTTTTTATGGCTTTCTGAAAGATAAGAAGCCATAATTATTAACTAAAATACGTGGTTGAAAGAAAATGTACATGGCATTTTATTACTCACTCTCTACTTTTTGATAAATGCATGAAACCTATTCACCAGGAGAAGATCCCTCACACATTCATCTCAGACTTAACCGCTAGTGGTGATACCATTCCTGATTCTCTATATTTAATTTGGAAGCCATACAAATAAAAGAGCTAGACCAAAGTTTTACAAGGGGGAATTACATAGGGTTGAGGAAGTCTTTGTCTCGTTACATTGGATGATTTCGTCTTTTTCCTCAACAAAATCTGCTGCCTTCTGGAGCTTCCACAGAGCAGAATAAAGTGGCTGATTCAAATTCTGTGCCTTAGAAATTTATTTTTAAATCAACTTTTTCTTCTGAGAGTTTCCACTGATGAAGGAAATGTTTTCATTTTCAGTTGGAAAAAATGCCTTCATGATCTTACATAATAAAGCTCCAAGAACAGCCTTGAGGAGATTTGCAATTAAATGTTTTCCAACAGGGTTGAAATTCTTTTAATTATCAATTATTGACACTTATCATCTCTAGCATCTTATTTATATGCCTTATTATAGGCAGAATTTTATCTATAACATTCACAAATATGTGCATCATTTATATTGTCAGCTATGCACCATAGAACCTTTGCTACAACTGCAATCAAATCACCATTGCAAGGAGAATGGCGCATAGATATCTGCACAGGTTATTGTCAACGATGGTGTGTTAATGAATCCATACAAATATGCCATGATTTTATAGTTGCAAAATCATGGACTCCTTTTAGAAGTAAAAAATAATAAAATAAAACTTGTCAGGGTAATCTTCATAACAGGTACCACCATTTGTTTTGCTGAATACATTCTTGTCAGTGTCCATTGAAGTGGTTTGTAGTGTCTATAGACATTACTGTTGCTAAAATGAAAGTATAGTGTGTCGACATGTTGACAAGCATCCATTAATCTTTTGTCTTCAATATCTCTAGTGTCTTGCAAGTTTGGCTTGTCAAACATTTTCACTATTATCATCAGGGATTGTTCAGTTGAGTTATATTGTTGTCTTCTTATCCTGCTTTCTTCATAATACAAAAATTCCATTTTACATAATAATTTTTACTCACTTTTCTTCAAGATTGTAAAAAGGACCTCTAAACTATTTTCCGCAATATAATGAAAAATTATTTTATGCTCTGTAGTCACTGTATTTTATCAGAGGTTGTGATGGGCATTCAAGAAGTTTTAATGCTGACCTCTCCAAATTGGAAACTTCCAAAATGATTTAAGTCTTCAAAGAGTGACAATAAGTGATGATATTTCTGAAGAACACATCAGTCACACACAAGCCAGGGTCAGGGCAGTTTTGAATTAAACTCAAGATTTTCTTCAGGAATACACTGAGATAAGTAGTTCCTGCATTTTTCTAACAAAACCAAGCAGGTCAGCAAATGAATAAAAAACAAAGTTCAAAAGACTCTATTCTTTGAAAGGTGGGTACAATTCAGAAGTAGATACTTCAAAGTAGTATTTTAATTTAGACCTAAAAATTAAGCTAAGTGGTGTTTCTATCCAAATTTAGCAACAACTTAACTTTAAAAGAAACACAAAACAAAAAACAAAGCAAACAAAAAAGAAAAACATACTGGATTGAGAGTCAAGTCATAGGGTTCAAATGTTTATTCTGACACTTCCTACTAGTTGAATCTAGAGAAAATATTTAAATTGTCTGGTAAAACATAAAGATTAATCTGTTCAATGGTATTTATTGAGCATATGCTGTGGGACAGTCATGCAAAAAGGAGAAAGATAGTGTCTCTCAGGTACTCCCCGCAGTAATAGCCTACGCTTCCAAATAACTGCAAGATTTAGGGAATGAAAACTAAGTAGTTTTATTTTTTCCAATAGTTGTTATCACCTTGGCTTTATTTACTCTTTCCCTGGGTACTGAGCACTGGGCTTCCTTAAGAACCAATCAATCTGGTTCTTAAATTTTTGATCACTTTTCATTTCACAAACTTTAACTCTTTCTTTTAAAAATCTCAAACTTCCTGTAATCCCAGCACTTTGGGAGGCTGAGGTGGGTGGGTTGCCCGAGGTCTGGAGTTTGAGTTCAGCCTGGCCAACATAGTGAAACCCCGTCTCTACTAAAAATACAAAAAATAACCCGGGCGTGATGGCAGGCGCCTGTAATCCCAGCTACCAGGGAGGCTGAGGCAGGAGAATTGCTTGAACCCGGGATGCGGAGGTTGCAGTGAGCCGAGATCGTGCCCTTGCACTCCAGCCTGGGCAACAAGAGTAAAACTGTCTGAGAAAAAAAAAACAAAAAACAAAAAACAAACAAACAAAAAAAACTCGAACTCGTATTCAAAGCAAAGTTCTCAAATAAATAAATAATAAAACACAAAGCAAAGTTCTCTCTTTGGTCTGCTCTCTTCTTTCACCTGCTGCTCCCTCATTCCCCACACATACTCTTCCCTGCACTGACCCATGTGGTTTTGAAGTAGAGATAGAAGAGAGAAATTTCTCCTTGGGAAAGTACCCATGGTTAAGTATCTGTCTCTTTGTTTAGCTCACGTTTATAGGGAAGAGCAATGGGGAAGAGCAGAGAATGCAAGAGGCCCTGCTGTCCACCCAGGGACCAATCCCAATTGGCACCCAAGATACAAACAGTCCCCTGTAAGACTCAGCTCCATTTTCTAGCTGCCCCCAATCGATAACCCCGATGCTTCATTCTTTTAAGGGGCCAGTGCCTTTGTCATCCTGTAGTGTTTCCTACAAGATTTCAGCCTGCTGTTTCATCACACTGGAGACCGTGGTCACAGGCCGGATTCATCTTCCACTTGCCTCAGAACCTGGGCACTCTAGAGGGTAGTCTATTCCCTCCATTCTGATTGGGCATCCCACTATGCCATCTCTCCCCACTTGTCACTTGTCCAGAGCACCAAGGCAAACCAGCAGACTTGGAGTAAAATAGATTTCTAGCTAGGGAAGATGGCAGCCTACCCCAATGGAGACACAACCAAAGTTTAGGAATTATTCTTCAGAAGTCCCATTTCCTTAGCTTTGGCAAAGAAAACCAGGTGAGCGTACCCAATATTGCCTCAAGAGGTTAAGCAAAGGTGTAGGCTTTCTGCACTCTCTCCGTGCTCCCTGACCTTCTCTATTGTTCCAAATGGTAAAGGCTGCCGTTCCGCTATTCCAGTGTAGTCTCCCTCACTCCTGATGGGCAACTAGAGTCTTGTCCAAGAGAATTTTGTAAGTTTGTTCTCAGAAGCCTTCTAATCTTGGCACTGTTCAGTAAAGCCTGAGGGAAACAAATAATTTTGCAGTATTTTCTGTAACATAGAGTCCTTGAAAATTTTCACTAACCTTAGCCATAATTTAGTAGCCACCCTCAACGTAACTAAGGGAAATACCTTTTTACACTGTCGGCATTTTACTAGCAACAATATTAATGCTTCTTTTTTACATGGTAAACAAATTAAAAGTAACCCAAGCCAAGAAGCAGGATCAAAGTAATCTTTAAATAATCATAAATCTTATAAAGAAAATTATTAGTTTCAAATTCATGTTGAAATCATGAATGTAAGTGGTCGAACTTAAAGCATGTGATGTCTCTGGAAATGTCAAGGTACATCATTTAAGAATTATTTGAAAGTTGGAGACTGCTGAATTTTAAACCTGTCCTGGCAACGTGAGAATTAATATTATTAATGTGCAAGCACATATAACACAGGATTTATCTAAATAATTTCTTTGATTTCTGCATTACTTAATTATACTGGTTATATTTGTGGTTAATATTAGATTTTTCTCCCTTTCTATTTTTTTTTACAGAAGATAGGTAGGCGCTGAAATTACAGATTATTACTTTTAAGTTATCATTTATTAAATAAGAATAAATAATTTACTGAGAAAACTGACACCAAATTTTTAAAAAATCAATGTATATTTTAAACAGCCTTCTTTAGCTAGCCTGAATGAACAAAGGAACAAAATGTTAGCATCCTAAACCCCAATACAGAGCTAACTAATTAGATTTAGTTTATAAAACTTTAAACATACACATAATACATTCATACATACATATATAAATAATTCTGATACTGTACTGCTTGAAATATAAGTGGCAATGTTATTTATGAAACTTTTTTAGGAGAGCACTGTGTTCAAAAATAGTTTTCCTTGCATATAACTCATTAAAACACAAACATTTTTTAAAAATACATTCTATTTATGTGTTCTATATCTGGAGTGTGAGGTAGGAAATACTTCAGACAAGGAGATTCTGTCCTGAGGAAAGATCAGGAAACTCAGATGTCAGAAAGTTAAGGCTGCTAGAGCAACAAATGCAATTTTAACACACGAGGGAAATAAGACCAGAACTCTTGAGTTCTTTCTTAGCTCTGTATTTGTCAGACTTACTGGTAAAGATACTATGTTAGATAAACAAAAGCTATACAATCACGACTTAACAACCAGCCATGATAGTTAAGTAGTTTAACAACATTTAGCTGAAACATCTTGAACAAGATATACATAAATCTCATAATCTGAATGTAGTTGTAGTTTTTATTAGCTCTAACACAAATAACTCCGTGTCTCCGAAGTATAGAAATTATGATTTCATTATACCTTTTTGGAAGTAAATCTATGTTAATGCAAATGTTTCACTGTATTTTGTCTAGAGATGTTACAACTAATAACTATGCTTGCATTCAAGTAAAGGGGGAGAAAAGTAATTTGTAAAAATTCTGTACACATAAAGTGTCTTTGGAATTGTATGCTCAATTGTAATATTTTTCCAAAATGATCAGAGAACATGTTGAGAGGGTCTAAAAAAGTGCACAGCAAATATCTCGCACAGAACCAATATTTACTGAACAAATAGAGTAAATACGCAAATAAATGAGTAAAGGCTCTGATACGCTGACAATTAATTCTGATACGCTGACAATTAATTCTCTGATATGCTGACAATTAAAACAATAAGAAAATCATTTTCAGGACTTTATGGCCATACCACTCACAAATTTTACTTTTTCCGAAAAATGTTCTTATTCCATTTCTTCACACATTTTACTCAAACTTAATATAAAATTTATTGCAGCTAATTCAGAGGGTGAAAAATTTTATAAACTGAGCAATTCCAAGAAACATGTTTCAGGATCTGAATACAAATTCAAAGCACGATTTTGAAGAATATTTTTCAGCATTTACAACATCAATTTTCATTTTCGAGATGGAAAACAAGAACACAATGAGGTCTTCTTTCTTGGCTAAAACCCTAGATATAGTTGAAAACGTAGTTTATAAAAGATGACTACAAAGTCCAGTTTCTGAAAACCAAAAGTTATGGAACAGCCGCAACACTGAAAGCCAAGGAGTAATAAATTCAAGAAGAAAACAGCAGCCCAGCATACAAGAATGAGGCCAGAAGGTACAGCCAACAAAAGTCCAAGCAAATCCCGTGATGTCTGAGAAACCTCAAAGAGGCCACAGGGAACAAAAACATGGGTAAGTTTCAACACATCAGTAAGAGAACCAAGGTGGTGGACCCCTTCTGGCCACCACTCCCTTACCCAGTACAAGCAGCCTCTCCACGTCTGTCCACCTCCAAGGGCAGTGACTGTTTGCTTCTCCAGAACCAAAAACACTATCTCAAAAAAATTATTGAATGAGCGGATAAAGTAAAGAATGTTTAAGCCAGAAAAGAAAGATTTGAGCTTTTCAGTCGTCTAAATTCCAACCAAATAAATTTTTTGGCAGCATGAATTTATCTGTCTCTCTGTCCATCTAGCTATCTACTGACCTACCTGTGTGTTCATTTATTTATTTATTTAATAATTTACTGCATTTAAAATAATGGCATTCTCAGCCACCTGGATGAAATTGGAGACTATTGTTCTAAGTGAAGTAACTCAGGAATGAAAAACCAAACATCGTATGTTCTCACTCATATGTGGGAGCTAAGCTATGAGGATGCAAAAGCATAAGAATGATACATTGGACTTTGGGGACTCAGGGCAAAGGGTGGAGGATGGTGAGGGATAAAAGACTGCACAGTAGGTACAGTGTACACTTCTTGGGTGATGGGTGCACCAAAATCTTGGAAATCACCACCAAAGAACTTTATTCATGTAACCAAACACCACCTGTTCCCCAAAAACCTATTGAAATAAAAAATGAAAATAATACGAATTTACTGCATTTAGGTCAGAGAAGCCCATATGGCAAGTAAACCTTTCATATGAAACTGTCCTGGGCCTGGCAGGGTGCAGTGTCTCACACCCGTCATCCCAGCATTTTGGGAGGCTGAGGAGGGAGGATCCCCTGAGTCTAGTTCAAGACCAGCCTAGGCAACATAGATCCCGTCTGCGGGAAAAAAAAAAAAAAAAATTAGCTGGGCATGGTGGCCTGTGCCTGTGTTCCCAGCTACTCCGGAGGCTCGGGGGGAGAAAATCGCTTGAGCCCAGAAGGTCGAGGCTGCAGTGAGCCATGATCGTGCCACTGCACTCCAGCCTGGGCAACAAAGCAAGACACTGTCTCCAAAAGAAGAAAAATTTTAAAACTATGGTGAGCCTGCCACCACCGTCAAGGTGACTGCGGATTTCCATGTGAATGAGGCTCCTGGATCTCCCTTCCCGTCATATGTCCGGAGGAGTGAATCCTAACCACGCTGAAATACTGCCGAGAACGTGCCTTTCATGATTACCAAATTATATTTTAATCCCATGAGTTGTCAGAAATAAGCATTCCAGCGTCTGATGGTGAATGTTCTGCGGTGTTAGAAGCAGTATTAACAGCAAAGTAAAGAAACCATCTTTTTGTGTAAGAGAGGAATGGGTCATATTCTCCGCGACTGCAAGCCCCAGGGCAGAGCAGCCTGAGTAGCTCCACATGCAACCTTGAGGAAGGCTCACAACCTCCTTCCACGACGTTTTCGCATCTGTAATGGGGAAAATAATAATAATGCCTACCTCATGGCGTTTATGAACATGTCATGAGTTAATAGAAGTATAGCTCTTAAAATAGTCCCTGTCCATTACTGTTTAATGAATAGCGGCGATTATTAAAGTGAGTTGCAGTAAAAACAGAAAAAAAAAACTTTCTAAATAGGATTTCACTGATTCTATTTTGAGACTTAGTTCCTTTCAGTTATATCCTACAGAGTTTTCACTGTATGGTAAGTAAAATCTTGTTTCAGCTCGG